>NC_000006.12:104313214-104464729 GCF_000001405.40 Homo sapiens
TAATGCTTAGCTTAAAATACATATTGCACAGCTGTACAAAACTATTTTTCTTCATATCCTTATTTTATAAGCTTTATTCTATTTTTAAATTTCTTTAACTTTACATTTTTTTGCTAAAAACTAAGACAACACAATCTGCCTAGGCCTACACAGGGTCGGAGTGACCAATATTGTTGTGTTCTACCACCATATTCTTGTTGCACTGGAAGATCTTCAGGGGCAATAGCATGCATAGAGCTGTCATCTCTGATAACAATGTCATCTTCTGGAATACCTCCTGAAGGACCTGCCTAAGGCTGCTTTACAGTTAACTTTTTAAGAAATAAGTAGAGGGAATACACTCTAAAATAATAATTTAAATGTAGTAAATACTTAAATAACAATCACTTATTATCAACTATTATGTACTGTACATAATTTTATGTGCTAGACTTTTATAGGACCAGCAGTGCAGGTTTGTATACAACAGTATCACTGCAAACACGTGAATAGTATTGTGCTATGACATTATGGTGGCTACTGTGTCACTCAGCAATAGCAATTTTTCAGCTCAATTCTAGTATTATGCGACCGACAGTGTATAAACAGCCTATCATTGACCAAAATGTGATTATGTGGTACATGACTATATTAGTCAGGCACTATTCTCCCTTGTTTCTACCACCTTAAATAGCCTAATATAAGTGTACAGAAAATGTTTACAAAAAAAATAAACCTAAAGTCTGCTAATTGCCAAAGATAATGTATTGTCTATGGCTGCTTTTAGGCTATGATAATGAAGTTGAACAGTTGCAACAGAGAAAGTACGATTACAAAGCCTAAAACTTTTACTATCTGGCCCTTGACAGAAATGGTTTGCCAACCCCTGTGCTAACCTACTGTCTGCTTTTAGAGGGCGGCTTCTTTGTTATTCCCTAAACAATCACTCTAGAAATGCCTTGCAGTTTCTTACTAGTTTCCTTCTGCCTTTCTAGGTTACCATTGCCTTTTTCTTTTATTTCCAGTGCAGCAGCTGGAGAGGTACTGCTCCAGAGGCAACTTGCCATCTTGTCAGCCTGGAGTGGCCAAATGGACACTTTACATCCTATGATTGCTTTGGTCACCTGTGGAGATAAATCAAAATGCACTCGGCATGTCTAGGTGGAGCAGTGACACTTCCAGGACTATTCAACAGAATTTGAAAATAAGTTGTCTATGCTTCTTGCCCACACAGCTCCCTTCTGCGGCCCCCTTCATCCTGCTTCAGAACCTTACTGCATAAAAACAAAGTTTCTGGTGAAACTCCTAATGATACATAAGACTGGAAAATGGTAATAATTGTGTTTAACCCTGCCCCAAAAAAAGACAAAAAGAAAATAAGTATGTGTTCAAGAGACTTGGCAATTTTATCATCGGTAGCTGAATGTGCTAATAAATGTCCCAATGAGATCAATGTTTTATTACAGAGCCCTTGAATCTACAGCTATTTTCCCTCCCTGGAAAATGAAGAAGCAAGTAGAGTGCTCTTATCAAGCTGAGGCTGACAGATAGGCTGCTCTTTATTGCCACAAAATAGGCAGGTGTTTTTTGACAGTGCATAGTCATTGATAAATTCCAAATATCCAAAAAATATTTTTGACCTAAAAGGTCATCTTTATTCATTTCTCTGTGTGTTCAAAAAAAAGATAAGATATACAGAATTAGAATCTTTTCAACAATGTCAGAAATCCAGGGAAGAAAAATATTCCTTCTTTTAATGTCTACACATGATATCAGCATGGTGAACTTCAGTTTGAATCTGTAATCTGAATGAGCAGCAATAAACATAACATGGAGCAAGCAGAATGACAGTCAAAATGTGGCAAAATGCAGCATAACACATTGTCAGAACACTCAGTGTACAGTAAAAATATGGGGAAAATATTTGAATGATTGTTTCAGCATGTCTTTGAAAGTTCTCAGAGTCCTTTTTGTGATACAACAAAAGCAAAACTTAAGCCAATGCATTTCATTGAACTTTTAAAGCAAACAGCCAACAGCTAGATTACCTTGATTTGCAGAGAACTGCCAGCTAACACTGTTTATTGCATGCATCACTTTTTGTCCACAGCACTGTGGGTCTTTATGCAGGCTCAAGAGATCAAATGCACTCCTGCTCCCACCAGGGTCTATAGCTAAAGGTCCAAGAAGAAAGGCTGTATAGCCAAAGACAGAGATATGAACATAGATTATTTTAAAAAATCAAATGCTTTCACTCAGAGAGGAAATAGCTCAGATGGTTGTGAAGTACATCAGCTGTGTAGAAAGAACAATTAATCTGATGGTTATTTTCTCTGGTATGTGACGGCCTTGATTCCAAGAAGGATAATGTCTCCTGCTATGCTGCAGAATTTGTACTACATGTAACACTTGTTTTCCTAAAGCAATTTGATTAATAATCTTTTCACATCCAGAGGCAGGTAGAGTGGAAAGAACATGGGCATTGAAGGTAAGCAAACAGGGTTAGAACTCTGGATATGCCACTTATTCTATATATGACCTTGGACAAGTCACTTGGCCTTAGCCTAAGTTTTCTCAGCTGGAATGATAACCACCTCATGGAATCATTGGAATAAAGTAACACATGTTTAAATCAAGCAGCGGACTATTAACTTTATTATACTTTTAGTCTCTTATTTGGCCTTCTGAACAATTCAGTCAGGTGGGAGAGCTGGTACTAAGGTTCTTTTTTTTCTGTACATATCACATATGTTCAAAGACAGAGCCAGGAAATAAGTCTCCCCACAGCTTGCTTTGGGTTCCTTCTACTATATACGTTACGATAACGTCACTAAAATGGCTGCAAACTTATAAGAAGTAGGCAGGTTTGCACTGAGTTACTCATGAGCTAATCAAGTAGTCTTTTGTCTTTATTGTGTCAACACCTATGATCTGCAGAGAGGCAGGAAAGCATTCAGCCAAATACTAATACTATCACTGAGAATGCCAAAGGCGAAAGGAGACTATGGTGAGATCCCAGGAATAGTGGAGACAGGTCATCTAAGTCTCAGCTGGCTAAAATAAATATGAAGCTGAGGTCAGTAGGAGAAGCAATTGGAAAGTAATATTTTAGAAAAGGTAAGTAAAAGAAGCATAGTCTAAGTGCATTTTGAGGACAAGGCAGCAGGGGTTGATGAAGATACAAAAGGAAAAAATCAAGAAGACTGTTCAAACAGTACAGAAATAACATTGCTCAAAGTGGTCTGCCGAGGCAGAGCTTCTTTTGAAGGTCCATTTTCTCAGCCCTAGAATATTGTCTCTACTCATGGGAAAGGCATAGTGCTTTGAGACAGCATTGGATACTCTGTTAGTCATCACTTGAGGCATTTCAAACAGGAGACACTTAACACAGGGATTTGGCTTCCCAGTAATTAAAGAGTTGGGAAGCCAAACAGAGGATGAACAGGCAACCCAAAGATTAGCAACAGCAAGCAGACTGTCATCTCTACAGCTCTCTAGAGACGCAATAGCAGAGGTGGTACAGCTGGACTACAGAAGTCAAATCCAGCCAGCAAGGGCTAGAACTGTAATCTTTACCCAGGAAAGCCTAAATAGTGGAAAAGGGGGCTGACTTGTAGGAGTTGGAGCCACAGAAGAGATGCAGCCGCTGCTGGAGATACCACTTGAGGTAGAATGAGGTGGGGGGAAATACCCTGGCTTGTCCTCACTGCCTCAAATCTTTCTCCAATGTCTCCCAGTGGCCAGAGCCAGCCGGAAATCAGGTAACTTAGGAGTCAAGGAAACACAGCCTGACCAAGTCCTCCCACAGCAATATAGAGCCCACAAGTAGAAACTGAGAGAAGAATTTGAGCAAATAACCAGCATGGATACCACGCTAAAATTTTCCATAGCCTCTGTCTTCTTGTTCTCATCTCTTGAGCTAATAAAATCAAGAGATTTCTGGGTCAATCTCTTTGTAACAAACCTGCACGTTGTGCACATGTACCCTAAAACTTAAAGTATAATAATAATAAAATAAAAAATAAATAAATAAAAAGAAGTAGATATTCCCTACTCCAGAATAACATTCAAGTAAAGTCTGTATACAATTGCTCTATTATTTTACTTGTTTGATTTTTGGGGTGCTTTGTTTTAGGGAACTCTGAGCTTAAAGAAATTGGAAAAAGTCATTTTTGTCATACTCACTTTTGTGAGGGTCTAGCACAGTATCTGCTACTTACCATGTTTTATGAATGAATAAACTTAAAGAGGTAAAGTACTGTATACCTTTTGTTACGGTTACTATGAGTAAATTCAAGGACTTGTTATAATACCTCTAAAGATGTTTAGAGTATAAATTATCAATAAGATGAGGTCACCCAAATATGTAAGATCCAGGAAAATCTTAACATCCAAATAAAAAATTCAAATGTTTTATAGTCAAATAAGGTGATTTTTTTAAAAACCAAATTCATCTTTTGCTCACACTAGACTCCTCACAATCTTCCTAGTGCACCAAGCATCTACACATTGCTTCCATTCTAGTTTTGTCCTTAACTGTGTTTTCCTCCCATTTCTGCTTCTTCACATGCATCAGTATTAAGGTGGGAGTGGAGATGGGAAGTAAGAATAAATAAAATTGGCTCTATTGGAAGGACTCTGAATATCCCCTTAGCACATAGGTCAATACTGGAAAAAGAAGCACTCTTTTTACTAATTCTTATTCTCTCCAGGACAGCATGGTCACCAGACATCCCTAATTAAACAAGGTACTCAGGAGATAAGCAAAGGGAGAAGAAGGGAGATCATGGCAAATATACGAAGCTCTCTATGCCCTGTCTGCCAGAACTTTTTTGAGATGTGTATGAAGAGAAGGAGAAAGATCTAGGGTGTAAAAGGCTGTTTTTACAACACTGGCAAAATTAGTGCAATGGGGTCCAGGAGCCTTCCCTCCTCTCCTCCAGATTACTGTCTGCCCAATTATGATCAGTTGTCCTTGGTACATAACCATTCTAAACATATACCCTGTTTACTTTCTCAGCATTCTTATCACATGTGATATGTTCATTTATTAAATATTTTATCTTTTTTTTTTTTTTTTTTTGACACGGAGTCTCGCTCTGTCACCCAGGCTGGAGTGCAGTGGCACGATCTCGGCTCACTGCAAGCTCCACCTCCCGGGTTCACACCATTCTCCTGACTCAGCCTCCTGAGTAGCTGGGACTACAGGACGTGCCACCATGCCCAGCTAATTGTTTGTATTTTTAGTAGAGATGGGGTTTCACTGTGTTAGCCAGGATGGTCTCAATCTCTTGACCTCATGATCTGCCCGCCTCAGCCTCCCAGTGTCTTCTTTTGATCAATTATGATCACTTGTCCTTGGCACATACCCATTCTATACATATTAGCCTGTTTACTTTCTCAGCATTCTTATCACATGTGATAGGTTCATTTACTTAATATTTGTCTTCCTCAATACATTATCTGTTTCGTTCACCTTGCAAAGATGTGCTTAGTAAGTATTTTTAAATAAATAAGTACATTAAAGAGTACCATACTCTGGCTCCCAAGATGAACTTCCAGTTTGTCATTAGAAATTGGAAAAAGCATTCATCCAATTTGGTCTATTAAGAACTTGCTTATATAGTCAAGATCTCTTATTTATAATCCAACATCCCACAATATTCTTATCCTCTACTCCTCTTTATTGATTGTTTAGTCCATTTAGGAACTCATTTCTGTTTGTACAAACTCATTGGCTTTTTCATCTGCAAATGTTTACATTTACTTTAAATACAGAAATAAATTGGGTTCTATGAATACATTAATATGCCCTAAAATTATCTGACTTCCTGCTCTGCTGGCTAACCACAAGGAACTCATATCCTTGGTTTAGTCCCATTGTGTTCTTGTGGTTCAGAGGGCTCATTGTGCTACATGTGTGTTTTCTGCTGCAGACACTATTTGCTGCCTCATACTTTTTTTCTGTGCTTTTTGGAAGAGGGTTATGTAGAGTTTTCCATCTTCTCTCCCTCAGTCATGGCAAATCATGGAACCTTGAAACTTCTTTGCATCAAACATCCCTCCAAATTCACTAATAAAGAGAGGGACTCCAGTGTGAGTATTTCACACTGAATATCAGTAAATTTTATATAGGATGAAGGTATACCACAGCAAATGAGCTATGTTTTTCTGTCTTATTTTTTATTTTGGGAGGTTTTTTTGAGAGAGGGTCTTCCTTTGTTACCCAGGCTGGAGTGCAGTGCTACTGTCAAAGCTCACTACAGCTTCAAGCTCCTGGGCTCAAGTGATCTTCCCATCTGGGCCTCCCAGAGTGCTGAGATTATGGTCATGAGCCACTGTGCCTGGTCAATGAGTTTTAGTATTCAGAAGATTTTGATATGAACATAAACCTACAGAATTTATACTGATTTTCTTAACACCATAATTACTAATTCTATATAACAGGTCTTCACTGTATTTAAAACTATCTATAGTTATATTTTAAACATTTACACAAGAGGGCATTTTAAAATTATTTAAGGTGTCCATTTAACTTGTTTCTAACATAAATAACATATATAAATGAAAAGACTTCCAAAAAATACATATATAAAAACTGAATTTTCTTATAGTACACGAAGAACTTTTACATACTATTAAATACTAAAGTGTTATTAAAGTTCCACACTAAAAAAATAATAATAATAAAGCCTTTTAAGGAAACAAGAAATGGGCTGGGCGCAGTGGCTCACGCCTGTAATCACAGCACTTTGGGAGGCCAAGGCAGGTGGATCATGTGGTCAGGAGATCGAGACCATCCTGGCCAACATAGTGAAACCCCGTCTGTATTAAAAATACAAAAATTAGCTGGGCATGGTGGCGCGTGCCTGTATTCCCTGCTACTCCGGAGGCTGAGGCAGGGGAATTGCTTGAACCCTGGAGGCAGAGGTTGCAGTGAGCCAAGATCACACCACTGCACTCCAGCGTGGTGACAGGGCAAGACTCCATGTCAAAAAAAAAAAAAAGTTTTAATGTTTTAGACAATATTAAAGGAATACACCAATTGTAACAGTCACACATAAAAACTAATTAATCTTTATTTTAGCTGCACTTCAATCTTATACATAAATAAACTGCAAACTACACAACAAGTACCACAAGCATTTTCCCCCATTTTGGCATACCAGTGACATAAGAACAGAAGTCCCCTTAAAAAGTTGTTCATGCACAATGTAGAAAACACATGTCATTCTACTCAGCCACTCGCGGCTGAAAGGTAACAATCAATGACTTTTGCTCTCTGAGTCCTCTTATTGCTTACGATGCTAGTCTTGAAAAGGAAGTGCCTGTTTCACTGGCAAAAGCCCATGTTGTGTTTGTGTGGCTGACAGTGCATTTGAAAGAGGACTGTACATGCTGGGCATGGTGGCTCACGCCTGTAATCCCAGCACTTTGGGAGGCCAAGGAGGGCGGGTTACCTGAGGTCAGGAGTTCGAGACCAGCCTGGCCAACATGGTGAAACCCTGTCTCTACTAAAAATACAAAAACTAGCTGGGTATGGTGGCACGTGCCTGTAATACCAGCTACTCGGGAGGCTGATGCAGGAAAATCACTTGAACCTGGGAGGCGGAGGTTGCTGTGAGCTAAGATTGTCAGTGTACTCCAACCCAGGCGACAGAGCAAGACTCCGTCAAAGGAAGGAAAGGAGAAAGGAAAGGAAAATAGGACTGTAGAGTTTTGGCAAGGTCAAAGTAGGCATGTGCCCGTGGTGGCCCAGGTTTCCGTTAGACTTTGTTGCCTCCAAGATAACCACAAGATTCACTTTAATGTGAAAGACAGTGGATAGGAAGCAAGAACCCTGCATGTTTCACTTTTGCTGAGGATGACAGCAGAGCTATTTGCTTTTCAGGGTCACAGCCTTTTGAACCTAATCTCTGTGTATAGATCCGGCCCAGACAGCAGCAGGGACTTGGCTAGAGAAGCTCCTAGGTGTGGTTGGACGGTCACTCCTTGGAGGGATGGTTTGCAGGCCTCTTTGCCTATCCTATGAGGCCCTTAATTTTTATTGAGAAAGTTCTTTGTCTCATTCAGCAAGAATGGGCTCTATTGAAACAGAATCACCTGTGTGATACATCTCTTAACTTTTTGCTTTTGAAATCTGTCCATGAGTGACCAATGACCAATTGCTCTTATCCTACCTACTGCCTAGTTTGGTCTATGTAAACTGCTTGTCTGCTTCTAATGTGATAACACTCAAACTGTTAGATCATGCTCTGAACTTGGGCATGGGCAGGGAGGAGCAGGTTGGCTCTCATGTTTCTGAGCAGGTGTTGTTTCTTGGCACTTTTACTAGCCTATTTCCACTTTCACAGATGGACTTAGAAAGTCTATGTGAGAATTAAAACATTCCCATTGAGCAGTTCAGGAAAACTGTAGTAATATGGTGAAAATGATATGACTTACTTCATAAAAATATCTTCTTGACATCGTATGTGACACAACAGGAGGTGAAGTAAATGCAATTCTAACAGTGTGCTTTCCTGGGTATTGTGAAGGGTCTGTGAATCCAATAATACTTCTTTCATTTCTCACAAATATTTTCCTCTTTTCTTATGTTTGGATTTTGTCATAACAAGAGCCATGGAAAAAAATATAGACAATATATTTGTACATTTTCCATTTTTAATAGTAAATTTTATTAAATTCTTAAACCAGTAAACTTATCTTAAGACTGAGCACTCAAGCAATAACCCAAGATCATAAAAGAAATTGATGTGGAAAAGATTTACTTTATATGAATTGAAACAACAGACAATTTTCAGACGCATGAATATCTGATGCTGCTTATCTATGGTAATATCTGAGTCTCATTACCCTTAAAATGAGGGTTTTGTATATAGCCCCACCATAATATGCTGTACTTCCCTTCAAATCAATAAAAAGATGCTGCTATATGGATTCTTTTGGATTGCATGTTATTCCTGTACCCTCACAAGTGATTTGCACTGCCAGTTAAAATGAAGCACACATTTGACCAAGATTGACAATGCACTGGAATTGCATATTGCATTAGCTTTAATTAAGTTATCAGAATCTATTACAGGGCTACGTATATGTCATTTCTTGAGACCAGCTTTGCAGAGAAAATCTCATTTACTAGTAAAATTGTTCTTTTGCTTAAAAGAATGAGCAATCTCCTTTCAAAAGAGACACAGTGGACAAAGCCATATAATGAGCTCAGCTACTTGTCTACCTAGTAAGAAATTTCTCACTCATCCTCTCCCTGCCTCCTAGAGGAGCGTGCTTTGAGGCTTACTTCCTATCACAGGGCAGTCACATAGCTAGGATGGCAGCAGCCCGCCACAGGGGACTGCACACAGTAGGCACAAAGACATATGGTTTCTGCTACCAAATTATAGGAAACACTAGGAGTCACACAGCAGCAAAGATACAATTTTAGAGATGTCATTCCAACCAGAGCCATATTAAGCTGTTGGATTCCAGGATGCTTGCAGTGAAATTGGTTGTCCTCTAAATGGTTTTGTCTAAAAATGAATTGCTTTGTTCTGGGTTCAGAAAGGCATGAGAGGGAGAGCCTGAGTTCCATACCCAACCGTTGCCACAGACTCCAGCTGCAAGTACAGGGGCTGGTAAAACAATAAAGTCGTCTTCTTTTATCACAACGCCAGATAGATTTTCTTTCTCTGGCTTCCAGACAAAATTCACTTATTATAATTATCTTCTGAGCTGGCAGTGACCACCATCTAAAACTTTATAAATGATCCAGTGAAACCCCGTTGAGCTGTCACTTATATCAAGCTGGGCAGGCAACTCTCTCCCTCACCACTGCAGCTCCAATGCACTCACGGAGGGAAGTACACATGTGATACATAACCACAGTGGGAAGGGAACTGCGGTAGAAACCAGCATATTGCAAAGCACACATGAAATTCCCCTTTGGCATATTTTATGAAACCTAAGTTGACATTTTCAAGCCCAGAGGAGGAGAGTTTTGCACCAAATACTGTGTAAAGAACAACTGGGAAGTTACCCACATAAGTGCTATTTGCAATCTATAATTTAATTATTCTGATGTATTATTAGCCATCTGCAATTCATGTCAACTTAAATACTTGTATTGAAAACCCTCTGACATCTACAATGCCATCTGAAATAATTTTTTCAGTGTTTCCAATAACATTTGTTCATTCATTCTGCCTAAATTTATCCATGTTTCCCTTTAACTCTTCTTTATTCTCTCTTTTAAAACCCTTATTAATGAAGAGGGATTTGATAGTACGCCTAGCCAAAGTAAAAAGTGTATATTTTTCCAACATGGTAGTTTTATGACATTAATTTTATATGTAGAATAATATGGGACATCTTGAGTTTATTTATACACATAATTTTTATATTCAGGCCATTGAAAATGAGCAAATTTTATATACTTCTTTCAAACCATGTATCAACTGTACATAAACTGCCTTATAAAATTAAGTTACTGAAATCAAGGCTTTACATAAAAACAAGGAGATCATGTCCTTTGCAGGAACATGGATGGAGCTGGAGGCCATTATCCTTAGCAAACTAACATAGGAACAGAAAAACAAATACTGAATGTTCTCATTGATAAGTGGGAGCTAAATGGTGAGAACACATGGACACAAAAAGGAGAACAACAAACACCAGGGTATACTTGAGGGTAAAGAACGGGAGGAGGGAGAGGATCAGAAAAAATAACTATTGAATACTAAGCTTAGTGCCCAGGTGATGAAATAATTTGTACACCAAACCCCTGTGACACAGTTTATCTATATAACAAACCTGCTCATATACCCCTAAACCTCAGAGTTTAGAAAAAAGAAATCAAGGCTTTAAATACTTCTGTCCTAATTTAGCTCTTACCTACATAGTTTTAAATTAAACAGGAAAAAGGTATAATATACATTTACTTTTCACAAATTGATATCAAATACATCTTTCGAATCTCATATGGTGCTTTCTAGACCATAGATCAGGAAACCTAATCTCAGTTGGGTTAAGTGACTTATTCAAGGTCTCACACAGCTAGTAGCTGGAGGATCCTGGATCTATCCTAGTGTATCTTAGCTATCGTCCGTAACTTATGCTTTTTCTCACCCTCCCCCCTGCCACCCCAAAGTGTGCTGCATCAACACTGGTTTGCCAACTATTCTTCAGATACATTAAGACAGACAAATCAAACACCCTGCCTATACATACATACACTGTCTTCTGGATTTTCTAACTGATGAGCCAGTAGCTGAAACTGACATACAGATCTTACAGTGTAGATATCTGTATTACGCAATGAAGGACAGAGGTAGAGAGAAGTGGGGAAAACAAAAAAAGCATCAGAGAGACCTGTATTCCTGACATCACAAACCTCAAGTCCTCAGGTGGAGGTTATAAAGGCAGGACCCAAATGCCTGTCAGCTGCAACACATACAGCAACCCAACTGTGCAGGCTGGAAAACAGCAGTGTCACAGTAGACACTGCAGTGAGAGGCAGCCCAGTAGAGCACACTGCACCAGACCAGCGGCTCTCAGCAGGTCTCTGAGTAGCATGGAATATCATCCTACGCCAATGAAAGATCATGGACATTGGCTTTGTGGTTGTAGTGAGGGGATGCCATACTAGGAGGCAGATAACAGTTTATGCGACAAGGAAAGCAGTGAGAACCGCATGATTTTCAGTGGATGCCAGCACGGAGGACTGGCCATGCTCCTGGCCCAAATATATGAATGTCCATGTCAGAGACACCACATGCACAAATACCAGAACCAGATATCCTCCCTGCCATCCAGAGGCTGTTTCTACATCCAGAACTAATTCCAGGGAGAAAGAAGGGAGACGAAATTCTGAATTAATATGCGGATAATGAACATGTTTCTTTTTGGCCATCAGGCAAAATAGAGGTACAAAATAGAGAATACAGTTGTTATAAATGAATAAAGTTTCAGCAGGTACCTTTGAGTACATGACCTGAAGCTTTATAACGTCTACACAAGATGAGTAGTAGTAGTTAATTTCTTTTTAGAAAAAAAAGAAGAGGGCATTTGTCCTCTGAATTTTAAATTAAAGATATTCCATTTCAAATATAAAGAATAAAAATTCTTGCTTCTTAAAGCAGCAATAATCCTTTAAGATCATTTTGCAAAATGCACTATTTCCATATCCCTTAACCAAAATCATAATTTCTTGTTTGAGGAGACATCTAGGTTTCTAACCAACTTTCTTCTATTTACCAGGTTTTAGGACATACCTCATTTCAGACTTGTAAGGCATGTGAAACTTTGTTTCGCAATGTTTCCAAAAAGAAGATCAATATCCTGATGTTGGGATGTGAGAACAGAGAGAGAGATTTGCCACTCCAATATTGCAACATGCCTCCCCCAGCCTTACAAAATAATATGTTTTAAAACTCCATAAGTGGAGATGGTGGGTTGGAAAAATATAACTCATCCATAGATAATATAATACAAAATATGACAGCGAAGCATAAGTCACGGTTCTTTACTTTTTCCTGCCAAAGTAAACTTTATAGATATTTTTATCAAAACAAAAATTGGAGTCAACCCGTGATTGCCATCTTGTGGAGAAGTCCAGCACTACCGTGTCAAAATATGTCCCTGAGGTATTGAAAAACGCCTCTGGAGATTCTTCAGGCACTCCTTCCATTATTTAATAATCTTTGCCGCAAATAAGCTCTGCCTTATAGCTGACCTAAATCCCTCGGGTTATCTCCTGTAGATAAGGGGAGAGCTGCCACCATTTATTGAGCTGTAATGCTTTGCATACTCAGTCAAGTTATCAAACCATGCCGGTGACTTTACTTCTCCAGGTTAAAAAGTTTCATATTATCTGACATTTCCACCTTACTACTGTGTTCCAGCTCTTGAGTTTCCAAACTGTTTAAAACTTGCTCTGCCTGTGTTTTATTTTTTTGGTCACAACTCTGTCTACTCCACTTTGTGAGGCATTTGACTCATTTCTGTGTTATTTGGGGAACACCCCTGAGACCTTCTGCGGGGGCAGTACTGGGTCTGAGGGTTTGGCAGCTTCGATCATCCCTGAAGGCATGCAGAGAGTCCTGTGGGGAGCCCTTACACCTTACACTCCAGCACCTCTGGGCAGTTGCCAAGGGAACCAAATCACGACATGGACATTCCAGAATTACACACATGCAATTAAATCTACCGAATAAGTTCACCAAACAAATATATAATGAAATAATTTTTAAAATTCCAAAACATTGGGCAACTTCCCTTTTTTTTGATCACTCCATTCTGTAATCTTGACTTTGCATTTTAGGAAAGAGTTGTGAAAGATGCTCTTTCTCCCTAACCCACATCCTCTACCACTGGTCATTCAGCAAATCCTATCAGCTCTACTTTCAAAATGAGTCAACTATGACCATTTCTCACCACTCTGACTACCCAGATCGAAGTTCAAGCCAACACCATCTCCTGTTTGGATTTTTGCAGTAGCCTTCTAGCTGATGTCCCTGGTTCTACTCATGCCTCCTGCAGTCTATTCTCAATACACAAGCTGGAGTGACCCTGCTGAGGCACAAGGCAAATCCTATTACTCCCTCCCTTGCTTAAAACCCTCCCACAGCTCCTGTCACTCAGAATAAATGCAACAGCCTTTGCTACGACTGATAAGGCCTTCAGAAAATTGACTCCCATTCTCTCTCTACCTCATCTCCTACACTCTTTCCCAAAGTCACTCTGCCCTCACCATACTGGCCTCCCTGCTGCTCCTCTCACACATCAAACAAACCTGCTCCGGCCTCAGGGCCTTTGCTCTTACTGCTCTCTCTGCATGGAAAAGCCTTTCCCACAATATCCTCATGACTTGCTCCTGCATGGTCTTCAGGTCCTTTCTCAAAAGTAATCTTCTCAGTAAGGCCTTCCTGGAAATCCTACCTAAAATACCATTTCTTCTCTCGTTTAATACCTTGTTTGCTGTATTTTTACTCCTTAGCATTTACATTCTACTAGCAAATATTTTGCTTCTTTTTCCTGTTTATTGTTCTTACAGTTTTTTATTGCTACCATAACAAATTACCACAAACTTAGCTGCTGAAAACAACACAAATCTATCAACTCACAGTTCTGTAGGTCAGAAGTCCAGCGGTCTTTGTTGCTTCTTTTGCTCCAATTCTCAGAAGGCTGAAAGCAAAGTGTCAGGCTGCAGGGCTTTTATCAAGAGTCTCTAGGAAGAATCCACATCCAAACTCATTTCAGTTGTTGGCCAAATTCAGTTCCATGTGATTATAAGACTCAGGCCTCCATCTCCTTTTTGCTTGTCAGTCAAAGTCTTTCTCAACTTCTAAAGGCTGCCTATATTCCTTGGCTCATGGCCGCCTTCAAAGCCATCAAGGGAAAGTCTAGCCTTTCTCAGGCTTTGAATCTCTTTGACTTCCCCTTTTGCCTCATCTCTCCTGCTTTCCTCTTCTGCTGCATCTCTTTGACTCCAGCTGAAGAAATTTCTCTGATTCTCAGGGCTCAAGTGGTTAGATTGGGCCCACCTGGGTAATTCAGGCCCCTCCCTCTATTTTGAAGTTCTTAAGCTTAACTACATCTGCAAAGTCCCTTCACAGCAGTACATAGATTCGTGTCTGATTGAATAGCCAGGAGATAGGAATCTTGGGTACCATTTTTAGAATTCTGCATTGTCAAACTAACTCCCATGTTGTAAGACTACCACAGTAGAATATAAATCCCATGAGGGTGGAAATATTTCAGTTTTGTGCAGTGCTATATCTCCAGCACCTAAAAATAGTGCCTGGGACAAAGTAGACAGAAAACAAATAAATGTTGGATGAATGCATCTAATCCAAGCTTTCTTAATATGAAGATGTGAACTCCGCAAAGTGATGTATAAAATATAAGTAGTGTGCAGACATGAGCACATTGTTTCCAATTCTTAAAATGACAATATCCCCCAGTTTTCCCAAGATAAATCTTGTTTGTGTCTGTTCTCTCAGTGTAATTATTCACCGGACCCCACTTAACCTCTCAAAGTGTCCAGGTTTGTAAGACAAATTACATAATTTTCCTAGATTCTCAAAGGTGTCCATTGTCCAACAAAAGTTTAAATTCTTCTGACCTCATCAAGCTTTTATGCAGGAATGTATTTGAACTTATACAAACAGATTTCTTTATTTTTTCATAAAATATACATCTTCTCCCTTGTAAACATATTTGAAGGACTTTTACAACTAAGACAAAACTCCAAGAAGTACATCCTGACCCTCAAAAGCAACCAATTTACCATCTAACCAAAATTTCACACCACCTCAAATCATAAGAAAAGGCAGTGGATATGAAACAAATATGCAGCACTGAGAATTTGGCCACACTATCTGAGATGTGATACTGTGTCCCATCTGTTCAATGAGATAACAGAGCATCTAGTATATCCTAAAATGTCTTAGAAAAACATGCACTAGGGAATTCTCAGTTTAGAAGATATTTGTAATAATAAGGCCTCAATCGTTTTTTCAAGCCTTGAATATTTAATATGGATGACAAGAAAAATACAGAATATTTTATAACTATGGTTTAAAGTACACACGGAAAATTCCTCAGTTGTCCACAAACCATTCCTTTATTTGTAATACAGTTAAATATTATGGAAGATTAACTTGATTGGGATATCCAATGGGCATTTCTTTTTGTTTTTCTTGTCTTTACTTTCTGGTTTTATAAAAATTTTGTGTTGTATCCATTGTCTCTAAGAGCAAAGAGTTTGATTATGGCCTTACTGCCTGATCCCCCACCCCATCTACAAATATAAGGGCAAAGGATGACCTCTGTTGAGAAAATTGACTACCTGTCTAAATGATTAAGGAGTTAAGGGACTCTGTATGGCTTTATAAATCTGCCTCTTCATCCCACCCTGGAAAAAATAAAAGCTTTATTCAGGGACTTTTTTTCATTTCTATTAAATAGAAATAGTTTCTAATTAGCTACTCAAAACAAGGAATCTGTGTATTATGTTGTATCTGTAAAATATGTATCTGATGATATTATAAATTCACTTTCAAGTTACATTAACAGAGAAAGGAATCTTAGGAAGAATTCAGAATGAAAGAGACATGCACCTTGCCTCCAGCACGGGATTTCTACAAGATTCTCTTTGCTTCTTGGCCCCACTGCCTATCTGAAATGGTCATTTTTACTAATCTGTGCCTGTAGAGATCCTTTTTCCCTTCATGGTCAGAATCGATTCACTCTCTACACTAGGGACCCCTGATGAACAAGTGTCCGTTTTGGGGGTTCTAAAGACAAAGCCTTAAGTGCCTCTAGCTGTAACTGATCAATCCCTAGGATTGAGAAAACAAACCATTTTGGAGAAGAAAAAGGAAAATCAAAAACAAAAACAAAATTATCTTCAAAGTGTGAATTTCAAGATGTAGGATCCTATATGGGTTAAATCCATACACGGACAAGATAGCTTTCCTGTATTCAGCAACAGGTCTAGAGGTCTGAAGGTAGCCTGAAGCAGCTTTAAAACACAAAAGAACTGACAAAAAATCATTCAGAAGGTTTTCATCTGTACCTCAATATATCTTCTTCAAATGTGACTACTGAAGGAATAATAACATCTCAAGCAGAAGCAAAATGCTGTCCACTTTGTAAACTGTGGGTGGTGTCTCTGCTACAAGATGAATTGCTAACCATTAAGCTCATTAGGAATGCATAACCCAAACCTGGCCCAACCCAATCTTCCTCTTCTTTCCTTTACTCTTGCCTTCACCTACCTTTGTTTTTTTTTTTGTTTTGTTTTGTTTTGTTTTTGTTATGCTGATAATATGCATATAACATAAAATTTACCATCTTAACTATTTTTCTATTATACTTTAAGTTCTGGGGTACATGTGCAGAACATGCAGTTTTGTTACATAGGTATACATGTGCCATGGTGGTTTGCAGTGTAAAGTCACATGGCATTAAGTACATCCACATTGTTGTGCTATCATTACCACCATCTATCCACAGCATTCTTGTCACCTTGCAAAACTAAAACTCTGTTCCCATTAAACAATTGCTCTCCATTCCCTCCCACCCACATTTACCTTTTTAATTAATTTATTTATTTAAAACTTCTAAGTATTCCTCAATTGGGAATAAAGTTGATGAATAAGAATATACCTCTAGTATCTATATCTTTTCCTACTGAAAAAAAATGGCCTTTTAAAATAAACTTAATCTACCATAATCTAAAATCATATCACTCAGAAATATTCTGTTTACCAATGGCAGAACCATAGCTGAATTTTTTAGGGAGAAAAATGGGGGAAAAACTGCCAACTGGAAGAAGGTTGGTATAATTCATGTAACTATAAAAAGGATAGGAAGAGATCTGAGGCTTAGAAACAACAGAAGGACAAATGTATTTAGGACAATATCTGTAAGGAGCTCCTGCCATTTCCAGTTTCTGCTTCTCTCCATGCATTTAGCTTTGTTTTCCTCTACTTTGGTGGATCTCAGTTGGGAGACAGTACCCTCCAAGGGACATTTGGCAATGTCTGGAGACATTTTTGGTTGTCACTGCTGGGGAATGCTACTGGAATCTAATGGGTAAGAGGCCTTGGATACTGCTAAACATTCTATAATGCACAAGATAAGCCCCCACTCCTAACCCCATGCCAACAAGCAATTTTCTAGCCCCCAAGTATTCATAGCACCACTGTTGAGAATCTCTGATCTACTCCATACCTATTCCTTCCATATGTTCAGTAACATGAAATCTTCAGTTTCAAAGGCACTCATCTGATAACCTCACCATCAGAAAAAGCCTGAAATTGTCCCTCTACTTTCAATTTTAAAATTCCCCAGGAAGGAATCCAATTGCTTTCTTGAGTTAATTACCAAGTAGAGCGATAAAGGCAGTGGGCACAGGGCCCCGGGTGGCCTGTAGAGGGTCCCTTCCTTGTACGAACGCCATTCCCCAAAAAGGGCATACTGCAATGAGCTGGGTGGAAATTCCAAATAGTGTGTACCACAAAAAAGAACTTCCTCGGTGACTACACGTTTTTAAAAACGACTTAGTGTGGGCTGGGTGCAGGGGCTCACGCCTGTAATCCCAGCACTTTGGGAGGCTGAGGTGGGTGGATCACGAGGTCAGGAGATCAAGACCATCCTGACCAACATGGTAAAACCCCGTCTCTACTAAAAATACAAAAATTAGCTGGGTGTGGTGGCATGCGCCTGTAATGCCAGCTACTTGGGAGGCTGAGGCAGGAGAATGGCTTGAACCTGGGAAGCAGAGATTGCAGTGAGCTGAGATTGCACCACTCCACTCCAGCCTGGTGACAGAGCAAGACTACGTCTAAATAATAATAATAATAATAAATGAATAAATAAATAAATAAATATTAGTGCTTGCTTTTCTTGTAGCAAATTCTCTAAAACAGAAAAACCTCTAACTGTCATAGTTACCATACTTAGGTGCTTTTTGTAACCAGCTAAAATGTTTAATCATCTAGTTGTAAGCAGAAATCATTTGCCTAAAAATAAATTAATTCAAGTAATGAGATATGCAAAACAGAGGAAAAAAGCATATTTATAAGGTTTTGAAATTGGCAAAAATAATGAATCTTTATGTCTGCAGTGACAAAGTTGGACTCCTCTCCTCTCAGTATCTCCATCTTCTGTTAGATTGCTTGCGGAGCCACTGAAATTAGATGTCAGTGTAAATTATGGTGCAGGCAGGCTTACTAGCCAAGGCTATGAAGGGTAGACACATAAAAACAAGGTGCTATTGAATGTAATTGCTTCTGATCTTAAAATTCTTAAATGACAAAATTGGTGCTGATGTGCTATTTGCATCAGGTAGTCCCTTTAATTGACACTGACTCACTTGGGGACATTTTTTTTGCAGCGGTTTTATAATTTTTTCTTCCTAATTCTTAAGTTCTAGAACAGGAAAGTCAGCAACTTATAACTTGGATCAGAGAGGAGAATGACAGCATGTGACTGTAGGTAGTGGAAGTGGAAATCACCAAACTTCTTATAGGGCCTGTAGCCCTGTAAAATCTGAAGTGAGAAAACGAATCTGGGTAAGGAGTATTTTGTGAAAATATTTGGAAAGAAGTTAGCACTTTTTTGAAGCTTGCTAAATTAGGAAGTAAGCCCCATTTGCAAACATTTCCATTCTTGTCTATTTCAATAAGGAGAAAGATGAAAAAGCATGACCCACAGGGCGCCTGGAAAAAGGAGATGCATGGTTTTGTCTGCTCATTTAAATACTTAACAAGCCTCAGGGAAAAAAGAAGACATCCCATTCCATTGCCCATAACATATGTCAGTAAGTCATAAACTATACCATGGATGGCTTGTGAACATTGCTCAGCCTCCTGCGAGACATTAGCACTTGTTCTCGAGCCAAAAAGGCAAACAGTCCAACTGTCTATCTAATATTTGATCTTCCCCTGCCATGAGAAACAGTCTTCAGAAAAGAGAGGATAATTAGTTAATTCTTATCCTATCTTTATGACAAAGTTATAATGTTCTCTCTAAGTAATAATTTATCTTACAGGACTTCTTCGATTTAAAGGAGAATATTTCAGTAATATTTCTAAGTCTAACAAAACTATAATTCCTGAAAAAAAGATAAGAAGTTGCCTTTATGTTTTATATGGATCAAATTAATAAATACTGCCTAAAGTTGAAGGTCTCTCAACACCTAACATTGAGTATTATGCCAGTCTTTGGAAGAAAAAATAGTGAATAAGGTATTTTCTCCACCCTACTGTACTTAAATTTGACTAAAACTGCAAAGCAATATGTTTTTAAATATTTCCAAAAATCTATTAACTGGTTATTTAAGTAAATATTTGTTTAGACTCAAGTGTAGTATCAAAGGCAGAAAGTGAGTCCTATGTAAGAAATTAAAAACTTCAAAGCAGTAACTTTTTTTCAGTGTTCCTGATACTGTAGCCCAGCTGCAAGGGATTTTGTGCCTGTTTCCGCCCAAAAATATAAGTAAGGCCAAGTGATCAATGTTGCACGTGACATATTTCACTGGGCCTTTCTTTCCAGGCTGATAAGCAGTAGAAGTAGAAGTGAGAAGACAAAAAATGAGGTAGATGGTGGTAAAATTACACTTAAAAAAGAGTATTTTTTACCCTAGGGCTCACCCATTACTGCCTGACATGTAGCATCCTAATCACCACCCCACCCCATGCCCACCCCCAATTATTTTGAGCAGTCCCCAGGAAAAGTTGCATAGGTTTAGAATTGAGCCTTCATGACCACCACAGGTATCTGTCTTTTCCTCCTCCCCTGCCCCCACTCTCTTTAGTGGCATCTGTGTCTATGGTCTATGTGGCCCAGCCTGGTGCCTGACATCCCTGGCACAGAAGACACTGTGCAGCACCAAAGCCTTATAAGGTGCTAGGCCAACAATTGGCCTGAATCTCTTATGAGCTGATTTGCCCCAAGGCTTATGTCAACTGCTGCTGCATCATGTAATCTCTTGACAATCAGAGCTCTGACTTCTATGCCAAGAGTGATGTTTTATGGAACTCCCAAAGGTACCAAGCACATCTCTCACAGATGGTAGTGCCTCCAATGCTTGTTCTGCTGGGCCTGGAAGCTGGCTGCTACCCTAACCTAGTCTTGTCCACATGGGAACTGTGTCCTTTCTGGGAGGCTGAACCATGAATATGCCACAGCTGTGCTGTTTTCTGGAATGCCTGGATACACCAAACCATGCTGGGTTCTGTCCAAAGATACAAAAATATCCACTTCCCCTATGTGTGGTGCTGTGTTATATCCATACCAAAACAGAGCTGTTTCATGTTTCTAATATTTTACTTGCAAGAAAGTAGTAAGGAAAGTCACAAAGCTGACTGACATTACATTAACCCTCACCACTGAGCATTGAACGTTGTTTTTAGAGCACATCTGAAGCACTGACTCTTTACTGGGAAGTAGCTTTTTCCCAATGCAAGTTGATTCCTAGAGACTCATATGCCAGAACGCAATGTCTGAAACCCTGTGGGAAATGTAGCTTAAGCTTCATTAGCAAGGACTGGAAGCTCCCTGGCCCACCTTAAATTCAACATTTAAAAAATTAAAAACACACTGAACATATCCTACTTACTGTACATGTGCAGAAAAATACTAAAAAACTGTGAAGGGCTTATAAGAAACCAACTAGAAAAGAAAATATGTCAACTAAACAAAAAGAGCACAAAGGAAAACTTTAGAACAAAGTCTCAAGGTAGAAAGAATGGAATCCTGGGATCCTTGAAACCACGTATGTTTAAGCCAATGATATCCTCATAAAATACCTCCCTCCCTCAATCTCTCTCTCTGTCTCTCTCACACATACACACACACCCACGCACACACACGGCTACACACACGTACACACACACACGGCTACATTCCCATAACACCATTTCTAAGTGTGCCTGGTATTTATTTCATTATTTTTTTTTCTTTTTCATTAAAGTCATTCCTTTTGTTCTTCCAATGATAAGGAAAATCAGCTATGGGTTACCCCATTTTATGCCCTCTCCTATTTCTCATACAACAACATCTTTCACTTGATTAGTCTCCTTGTAAGGTACAGATACTCTATTAAACTGTTAGGAAATCAAATACAAAATGCTTTAAAGTAACCTTCAAAGTCATAAAACAATCACAACAAAGAAATTAAAATTTAACATATCGAAAAATTCCACATATGCTTAATCACTGAAACTGAGGAAAGAAGCTGATTATTTTTGTCATCTGGAGAGGTGGGGAGCTGGCAATGTAAAAATTCTCCTGCTAAAAGAATAACTGATTATAAAGTAATTGCGTTTTTAAAGGACACAGATGTAAATAGAATGTGTTGTTTGTGTATGTTTCTTTGGCCTAGCTATCTGTTTTCCCATGATACCTACGCAAAAGTAAAGTCTAAAGAGCTTGTGCACACCTCCCCTTTCTTTCTCTAAAAACGTCTGCCTCCATTTTGTCGTTTAAATCAGCCGTGCATTTTGCTACACAAGATGATCCAAGCACAACTAAAAGGCTGAGCATTCAGTGACCTGAGATCTGTGCCCTCTTTTCACAATGTGTAACACAGTTCCTTCTGATAATTGTCACCAGAAGGAATTCATATTAAAACCTTAAGCTTGCTCCAAAATTCACTCGGTAAAAGCCTGTAATTTGTGCAACCTGATGTATCCAACTGTCAGGAACTGATATATTAGCCTCACCTGCTCCTGACACAGAGGCCCACTCGCCTATTCTGCTGTTTTTGTCGCTTGCTTTAATGATTAGGATTGTTTCCATCATCTTCTTCCACTCTTTGCTTCAAACATCCTACTTCTGTCATTTACCTAAAAGCTGAATACCAACAAGAAAATCTGGTTCGTGCTGGACTTAAGCTTTCTTTGGGGTTTTCACTACCAAAACTGATCTTTCTCGTTTTTCTCATTCTGCCTTCCATTTTGTTAATCTTACCACCTCAGTTATATCACATTTTCAAACAAAGCTTAGTGATCACATGTATAAAATTGATACCAAAAGGTAAATACGCAGACAAAGCAATCCCAGGGGGTCCTGACAGCAGAGGACTCGGGAGCTCAAGGCTAATTTCTTTCCAACTGGGACAGTGACCTCTCCTCACTATGGAAATCTGAACCAAGACCATGCGTTCAAGTCCACTCCCAATTACCAACCAGTGACCAAACTAACATTTTTCATACAGCAATTTACTGTCATGAACCTTTGCCAAAGGCCAGACTAAAAAAAGACCAAAGGAAAAAAAAAAGCCAAACTGAGAACGTTCTCAGTGTTGTTTATACTTGGTCTGTTTAGCCATCAGTAATGGATGTATTGTTGCAGAGGAACCAAGGAATAAAGCTTCAAGAAGGGCAGGAGGGAAGAAAGGAGAATGGCAGATAAAGGAAGAAAAATTGTACTTTTAACCAGCCTGTGTTCCACTGCCTGAAGAAAGAAAAAAGTCAGAGAGCTCTCCTTAAAAAAAGAAAGAAAGAAAATGAAATGATTACTGGAGACAGGACTGAAAATAAAACTAAATTGTAAAAATCAAATCAATGTTTAAAAAGAATCAAACTCAGTTACTTGATCCTTAAAATTTTAAATCAGTGCAAAAGCTATAATTCCCTTTTCATAAACATATTCCAGCAGATTTTTCATTCATTTCCAACTGCAGAAATTTTTACTCACTTGCTCACATACTTTCACACTCAATACTTTCACAATCCTGACACAAGTACCATTAATTTCTAATAAAAATTAATTTATACATAAAAACATTTATACATATTTGTTAATTAACTGTCACAAAATATGATACAAAAGTGGTTCAACAAACAAAATATTACATTGGCTCTTAAAACTTTTTCACATTTAAATTTTAAAACACTATTGAAGGCTGTGCTCTCTCAACAGAAAACATAACTGGAGATATTCTGCGATGGGCCTGGCAACAGAGGGAAGGACTCTGAGTTTCCTTCTTGAAGAGATTAATTCTCCTCACACAGAAATAACTGTAGTATCTAAATGTCACTCAATGGTATATAAGCTTCACTGGCCCATAAAAATAGCACTTTCCTATGAATGAAAAACAGGATTAAGATCAAGGAATAAAGGCCATATTTTTAGAAGTTGGAGATAAATTATTTAAAAATATGTGAGCTGAATATGGTGAGCTAAAATATAAGGAAAGGTACCCATCTATTCTCTGCTTGGAATATGTATGTGTTTTATTACGCATTATATACTTGGTAATATATTATAAAATATTAATTCAACATCTACACTTTTAGCTACTCAGAATGTAGTGAAAATTAGATACATCTTTGATATAATCTAAATTTTTTTCTGATTCTTCGGTCTAGCTACAATCTTTCTAACAAAGAAGGTTAGGAATTTAATAAATAGTCTTGAGACTTATGAGAAATGAATGAAATAAAAAGGAGTTTAGATTATGTAAAATGTCCTTGATCACATGCTGATCGATCAAGAGTTAGGGCAGCCCTGCCTGATGAAAGACAAAGCTTTTGAAGCCAGACCTTGGTGTGAGTTCTCTGCTCCTACCACTTACAGCTGTGTGGCAAGAACAAGGCAAGTATCCTTTCCAATACTGGTTTTCCTCATCTGCAAAACTGGAATAATAATTCATACCTTGCAGGATGTTTTAGGAATTAAAGATAACATGTCAAGTGGCCAGCATGATGCCTGGAACCAAGGTGGATCCTTAAAAAATAATAAAGGATAGTTCCTCCTCCTTCTCCTCCTCCTCCTGCTGCTGCTGCTGCTGTCCTCCTTCTCCTCCTTCTTCTGAGATACTTTTTGTTCCACACAAGTAAAGCCCATTTCTGATTGCCTGACTTAGTTGGTAAAATGTAAAATTAGACAGACGAATGTCGCTTTTCTTACCTCTTGGAAGAACAAAGTTATGTTTGGGATGTTGTCATCACCACATCTTCAATTGAAAACCATTAAAAATCAGCATTTTCAGCACTTCAACATCAAGAAGCCACCCTGCCAAGCCTGTTTAATAGAGAAAGCATCAAATAAATTGTGAGATTTTAATTACATTCAAGACTCACCAGTTAATATTGGCATATGCTGGGCAATAAGTTGAATTCATTAAGTCTGGAGATTGTGAATTGTTTAGCTATGTCCTCAGAGTTTTATACATCTCCAGCCACATAGTAGGTGCTCAATAAATGTCCATTGTTTAACTAGGAGCAGGAATTGAAAACTATAGAATATCAGAAACCTTGTACATCACTGGTTTAATACCTCCATATTGACTAATGGTTTCCATTCTTATTATTTCATTTATTCAACAACTAACAAAGATTTACCAAGTATCTATGCATAAGACACGGTGCCAAACACTGGGGATACGGGAGTGAGAAAGACAGACAAGGTCTTAAATGAAATAATTCAGGTAAATAGCACAGTGCCTAGCACACAGTAAGCTCATTAAAAATGACAGTAGCAGAAGTCACAAATCTTAAATGAAATAATTCAGGTAAATAGTACAGTGCCTAGCACATAGTGGGCTCCTTATAAATGAGAGCAGTGGAAGCAGCAAATCAGGCATACAGACATCCATACCAGCCGCTGTCATGCACTTGCTCGCTCTCTGTCTCTCTCACGCACACACCCACACACGAACACCTAAAAATCTTAATGGCTTAGTTAAAGTCCATCACCTCAGAAATTCACATGGAAAAAATGAGCTTTTTTTTTCTTTGACTTCATTTTTTTTCTTAGAACTGTTCAGTGAGTATCTTTGACTTCATTTTTTTTCTTAGAACTGTTGGCTATTCATAAAATATCCTTTCAAATTAATGAAAAAGTACTTGTTGTCATCAAAGAATCTTCAAGAATCTTCAAATTTTCTGTAACTTGGCAGCCTTCTGCTCATGCTGTTTATTTCCAACAGAAGTGAATCTTTGAAGTTGACAAGGTGTTCATGGACAAAGCAGTAGTTTGCTTTAAAAAAAAAAAAAGAAAAAACATTATTTTTGTTTTACCCAAGACCTGGTTAAGCCTGATTTGGAAAGAACAAAGCCTGAGTTTCCAAAACTGCTGCTGGGCCACTACAGAATGGACTCCTTCCCACTGAGTGACGTCCAGAGGCTCCCTGTGCAGCCACTGAAAGATATCGATTCACACTATATATTTCTGCACCTCATTGTCCAGTCTTAGACATTTGATTACAAGAGAAAGCTACTCTGTTGAAAGATCATTAGCCGATATGATGAAAAAACACTTCCTCCCATGGACACGCTTTGAGAAACAATACAGGGTTCAACATGTGAGATCAGAAGTCAGAAAAGCCTGACTCCAACACTAAGGCAACAGCTCAATACTGATAATAATATCAACAACTACCATTTATTGTGTGCTTCCAAGTGCCACAATGTACGAGGTGCTTTATACACACTATCTTACGGACATACTAGAAAGAATGCCAGTGTACATCTGTTAGTGGATCTGCTTCACCACTAAGCAGCTTGTTGAGGAAAACATTTGTTCTATACTCTTGCTGTTCCCTTCTACATGGAGATATTTCATTGGCTTCATCCTCCAGGCCTCTGTCCATCACCTCACTTAACCCTGAGGGTGAATGGCATATCTGGCTAGTGAATTTAGTAGGAGAAAGTGATCACTCAAGGACCAATGCCCACCCTTTTTATCACTCAGGAATGGGCCCACCAAAAAGAGAGCTTGTCAGCTTCAGCTCCGCCATGTCCTTCTTCTTGCAAGTTCACAGCCCCATTTAGATAGGCCTCCCCAGGAAAGCAGAACCATTCCTAAGGTTCATTCTTTGGAGGTCCAGTTGCCCACAGAAATAAGCCACATTCTAATATGTTGCTCATAAAGTGATATTTTGATTTGCCCCTTAGATGACTATCTCAGTTTCTTTCTCAGCTGGTTCAGAATTTGGGAAAGGAGACGTCATGATGTTTTGAAGGACATTCTCTAAGATTTTGATTCTTAAGAGACTTACATAATCTTTCAGTGCCTTAATTTTCTTGTCTGTAAAATAAGAATGAACATAGTGCCTAGCTCATAGACTCACTATGACCATAAATGAGACAATACCTACAAAGTAAGTGAAAGACATATAATAAACACACAATAAATAATATTAGTGAATAACTATTAGCAATTATAATTGCTAATAAATATTAGCAATTATAATTGCTAATAAATATTAGCAATTATAACTACTGAGATTGTTGGCATTATTTTAGGACTTGACTAAATTTCCTATCAGATCTATCCTCCTTCTAATATTCTACAGCTTTGTTAATTCCAATGTTACTTTACAAATAAACTTTTATCTTTGAGTAAGTCATTCTCTGAGACTCAAAAATGATAATAATAATAATAGTATCTGGATGACAGGGTTTCCCTGAAAATTATATATGAGAAAATTCATGTTTAGCCTAGCACAGTGTCTAGCATATAATGAGTGTTCAATAAATGATTAGTATTATTACTATTACTGTTTTATTTTTGTTACAGATCATCTAATTCTCCTCATTTTCATCCATGCCTTCACAATTGTGTAACAGTGTTTTATCAATTTTTTGATAATTGATATATGTATTTTCCTTATGTCTAGATGGTTATTACGTTCAGTCAAACCCCAAGATCCTCTCCCATTTTTTCTAATTTTCATAAAGTATAGTATTGCACTTTTTTCCAGTAAAGAAATGTAGAATGTTTGCTTCAAAGAAAAGAAGACAATAATGAATCACATATCCTTTAGTTTTAGAGATTTGGTGATGCAAGTCACATGCTAACCAGATGTTTTCTTTTAGATTATTGTCACCCACACCCAACAAATAATGAGTAAAGAAAGAAAAAGTATGCAAAAGGCAAAATAATTTAGGAAGCCAAGTCTCCTCTCTCATTTCATCAGAATAACTTCTCTGAGGGCTTGACATTTTCTACATGGAGTTTTAACTCAGTGCTAAAAGCAGCAAAGCTTTGTATTTCCTGGTAAAACTAAAAAAGATGAATATTTTCAAACCGCAATATGGTCATTATGAGCTGTAGCACGTACACAAACATACAAAAAAGGAAAGCATGTTCTCTCTGAATTGAATTGAACTAAAGGACATGTATATTTAGCAGTTCTGTAGAGAGTATACTAAATCTTCAAAACATGGAAGGGGAAATAAATATTCTATCAATCATGACTCTGAAAAATATTTCAATTCAAGCTGAAGGTTTTATTAGTATTTCAACACTATAAATTCACGTTAGTCTTCAACGGCATATGTTTAAATGGAGATCATAATCATCCAAGTTGACTTTTCCACTTAAAAGTACAAAAAAATAAGTTGAAAAAGCTTTATGATGTCAATGTAGGAATATTTCCATGGAGTCAACTAGAGTTTCCAATACTATAAATACTCTATGAGGGTTTGCTCCAGTGAAGAATTATTTTAAATACATACCTATTAAATCTTTCCATAAACTCAAACTCTACAACAATAATTACCACAGGAGGCCCATTCTGTTGTAATTGATCATATATATATACACATACATACAGAGAGAGGGAGACTGAAATTGAGAGAATGGCAAAGAGAGAGGCAGAAACACAGAGAAAGATACAGAGACAGAGGAAGACAGAGACTGAGAAAAACAGAAAGAGAGAGAGAGGACAAAGAGAGAAATGTATAAGGAATTGGCTCATGTGATTATGGAGGCTGAAAAATCCCAAAATTCATACTCCAAAGGCCTGAGAACCAGGAGAGCTGATGGTGAAAGTTCCAGTCTGATTCCAGAGGTCTAAAAAGACCAATGTTCCAGCTCAAAGACTGTTAGGCAAAGAGAGGGAATTCTCTCTTCTTTGGTCCTTTGTTTTTCCTTTCTCCAATGTATTTAATGAGTTCCACTCACGTCAAGGAGAGCAATCTTCTTTACTCATTCAAATGTTAATCTCATCCAGAAAAACCCTCAAAGACCCACCCAAAAAAATGTTTAACCAAATATCTGGGCGTTCTGTGACCCAGTCGAGTTAACATATAAAATTAAACATTACAGATAAGTAAGTCTTTTGTGACTAAGTAAAAAAATAATGTAGCATAAAACTTAATACCTATATATTCAGGCATTTTGGAAATGAACTGGTTTGTTATATCACTGCCTGCTTAAAATTTTTTCCCAGTCATTGTTGTCCCCTCAAAAAAACAAAACAAACCAAAAAAAAACCCCAGTAGATCTCTCTGTAATGGTGGATGGAAATAGCTTTAGTATAGAGACCCCCTTTGTAGACCAAGCAAAATTACTCAGAAGTAAGTCAGAATTTTTTTCTCTCAGATTTATTCTGTACATGAAATGATATAATAAGAATAATTTTCTCCATATTAACTTAAAAATTAAACAATATACCCTGAATATATGCATGAGATTTTTCTTTAATGTTACAAAATAATTCTAAAGTTCATCTGTATATAAAAACTCAAACAACTGGCCAGGCACAGTGGCTCACGCCTGTAATCCAAGCACTTTGGGAGGCTGAGACGGGTGGATCACTTGAGGTCAGGGGTTCAAGACCAGCCGACCAACATAGGGAAGCCCCGTCTCTACTAAAAATACAAAAATTAGCTGGGCATGGTGGTGTATGCCTGCAGTCCCAGTTACTTGGAAGGCTGAGGCAGGAGAATGGCTTGAACCCAGGAGGCGGAGGTTGCAGTGAGCCAAGCTTACGCCATTGAACTCCAGCCTGGGTGACAGAGCAAGACTCCATCTAAAAAAAAAAAAAACAAAAAAAAAAAAACCTCAAACAACTCAATAGCAAGAAAACAAGTAACCTGATTTTTAAAATGGGCAAAGAATCTGAATAGACATTTCTCAAAAGAAGACACAAATGACAAATGGGTATATGAAAGAAGTGCTGAAAATCACTAATCATCAGAGAAACGCTGTTTAAACCCACAAAGAGATATCACCTGATACATGTTAGGACAGCTATTATCAAAAAGATGAAAGATAACAAGTGTTGGAGAGAATATAAAGAAACAGGAATCCTTGCACTTTGTTGGTGGGAATGTAAATTATGACAGCCATTATGGAAAACAGGATGGAAGTTTCTTTAAAAGTTAAAAATTGAGTTACCATATGATTCAACAAGCCCACTACTATGTATATATACAAAGGAATTGAAATCAATATGTTAAAGAGATATCTGCACTCCCATGTTCACTGCAGCATTATTCACAATAGTCAAGATATGGAACCAACCTAAGTATAAATCAATGGGTGAAGGATGAATATATTTGTGTGTGTGTATATACACACACACACCCCCACATTATGTAATATATAATATATATATAATAATATATAATCCAATATGTATATAATGGAAATACTATTCAGTCTTTAAAAAGAAGAAAATTCTGCCATCTATAATAGTTCTTCTAATCCCTGTTGTTAAGACTAGATAATTTCCACTGTTCTATTTCCCCATTCTCTGATCATTTTCCTCTGTTCCCTCAATTCCACTGCTTAGCCCAACCATTGACCCTGTTCATCCATTCCATTGTTTAGCCCCTCCACTGAGTGTTATACTTGTTATTGCATTTTTCAATTCTAAAACTTTCTATTTGGCTCCTATTTATGTGTGTCATCTATTTCTTTATTGAGAATTTCTTTTATTTGTTCACTTATTTTAAACATTTTCATAATTTTTCACTGAAGCATTTTCATGATGGCTATTTTTACATCCTTGTCATATAATTCCAACATATCCATATCAGTGTTGATATCTGTTTGATATCATTTCTTGCTCAGTTTGAGATTGGTTCTTTGTATGATGAGTGGTTTTCTACTAAAATGTGACATTATGAGTATTATAAGAGCCTGAATTTTATTTAAACCTTCATTTGAGTTGGCTTCCCATGATACCATTCAGGCTGAAATTGAGATTCGCCACCTCATTAATGCTAGGTAGGGATAAAAGTCCAGTTTTCCCACTTGACATCTCTTGACACTGAAACCACCTTTGAAAAATTACAACCATGAGAGAAATCTAACACAGCTGACTCCATCTTGCTTCTAACCTCACCAGCCAAATGCCCTTGCTCATTCTTGGGCATAGGCCAAGCTAACCAGAGGAGGAATTTAGTTTATAATTAAACCTTAAAGCAAAGATGATAATAGCCCCCTCCTTGTTCAGGGACTAAAACTGCCTTTGTAAAACTATGAAAGCCCACAAGGTTAGAATTACAGAGAAGGGACTGAATTATACTAAGACGTATGCATACGCAACAATCAGCCATTGTTCCCTAGCTTGCTTACTGCTCAGGAGTCATATAGCCGGAGGTTCCAAGATTTGTAACTTCCCCAATTTCTCCTATAGATAACATCACTATTGTAAACCTAAGACTGGTCCTTGAATATTTTTAAACTTTTGCACTCTGGCAAACTGACTTATGCCACTTGGACCCATGACTTATAATAAGGAACTGACTAAACTGGTCCTGTGACCTCCACCCAGAATGTGACTCAGTACATGAGGACAATTCCAACACTCCTACAATTTCATCCCCAACCAATCAGCAGCACTAATTCCCTAGCACCTGGCCTGCCAAATTATCCTTAAAAACCCTAGCCTCTGAGCTCTTGGGGAGGCAGATTTGAGAAATATCTCCTGTCCTCTCACTCAGCCGCTTTGAGATAAACTCTTTCTCTGATGCAACACCACTGTCACAGTGTATTGGCTTTTCTGTGTGGCAGGCAAGAAGCCCCATTGGGCTATAACAACACCCATGAAACTCCTCATTATTGCTGAGCAGGAATGAGATTACTGGCCCCCGACATGGCCTCCACTGACAACAAAGAGGGGTGGCCTCATTAATGTTGGGAGGTGGTGAAAGTCTTTACCTGCCAGTATGTTTCCTCTGACAATCCTCCAGCAATGAAGAGAAGGGGGTACCTCATTACTACTGGGTGGAGCTCCTCAAATGCTCTCCACTGACACAGCAAGAGAAGGTGGGGTGGGGTTCAGCTTCTTTCCACCATATGGGGAAAAACTTCTAACTCTTTACAGGCGATTTACTGACAGTGACAGGGTGGCAAATGGGTTAGAATGTACCACTGCACCCTTTGATTAAGATGAAAGTTGATTCTCCCTACTAGGCTTTTGTTCAAGTGGATGGGGTGGGGACCATAGATTTTTCTGTGGTGTTTTGCTGGCATAAAGCTCATTTATTGTTTAAAAGTTTTGTCTTCAAAAGCCGCCATTTTCCTGGTCTTTTGGCTGGAGAATAAGTTTCCTTTGAGTCTCTTTTTGTCTGCGCCCATAGGCGTTTCTGGGTCTCTGGCTTCTTTAACTCCAAGTGTTGGATAGATAGGCAAACATAAACCCCCAGAAATCATCACAACACTGCTCCTTGAGTTTGAGATCCCTAGCCGGTTTGTCTCTTTCCTGTCTTCAGGGTCTCTTTGTATTTGTTTTTAATATAATATCCAGGCTTTTTAGTTGAACCTAGTGGAAAGATTAGAAAATACTACATCTACTTCATATTTCCAGAAATGGATTTCTCTAAAAACAATCTTTTAAAATAAAAGCAAGATTAGATGACATACTACCTGATATAAGGACTTAAAGCTATCGTAGTCAAGATAGTGCAATAGTGTCACAAAGATAGATGATGTATCAATGAAATAAGAGAGTTCAGAAATAAACCCATACATACACCATATATTGACTTTGGACAAAGACATCATGGGAATTCAATGAAGAAAGGAAAGGTTTTTAACAAATAGTGATGGACCACCTGGATAAACAAAGGAAAAATAATGAAATGATTTCTGCCTCATGCCTTGCACAAAATTAATTTGAGATGGATCATGGACTTACATGTTAAAGCTAAAATTAAAAAGCACGTGGAATAAAATATAACAGAAAATCTTAACTAGCTTGTGGAAGACAAGGATCTCCTAAAGATATAGATAGTTCTGTTCTCAGTCCTTTGAGATATCTGCAAACTACTTTCCACGGTGGCTGAACTAATTTACATTCCCAACAGTGTATAAGTGTTCCCTTTCCCCACAGACTCACCAGCATCTGTTGCTTTTTGACATTTTAATAATAGCCATTCTGACTGGTGTGAAATGGCATCTCATCATGGTTTTGATTTGTGTTTCTCTGATGATTAGCAGTGTAGAGCATTTTTAATATGTTTGTTGGCTGTTTGTATTACATTGGTGCAAACAGAACTGCAGTTTTTGCGTGGTTGGAATTTGTGGTTTGATATTGGAATACATTCTTAAATAAATGTGATTATGTTATACATCATTTTAATGGGCATTTCTCACTTTTTTTGGCTAATGACTTATTACTTGCTTTTTATTTTATGTTTAGTTTAGACTATGGAAATGATGTTAGACAAAAAGCAAATCTGAGCAATTTTCTTATTGAAGTTCAAAATGAGTCATAAAGCAGCAGAGACAACTCACAACATCAACAACACATTTGGCCCAGGAACTGCTAACATACAGTGTAGTGGTGATTCAAGAAGTTTTGCAAAGGAGACAAGAGCCTTGAAGATGAGAAGCGTAGTGGCCGGCCATTGGAAGTTGACAATGACCAACTGAGAACAATTGTAAGCTGATCCTCTTACAACTACACGAGAAGTTGCCGAAGAACTTAATGTCAACCATTCTACAGTCATTCAGCATTTGAAGCAAATACGAAAGGTGAAAAAGCTCTATAAGTGGGTGCCTCATGAGCTGAGTGAAAATTTAAAAAAGATCGCCATTTTGAAGTGTCATCTTCTCTTATTCTACACAACAACAATGAACTATTTCTTGATCGGATTGTGACATGAGACAAAAAGTGGGTTTTATATGACAACCTGCAATGACCAGCTCAGTGGCTGGACCAAGAAGAAGCTCCAAAGCACTTCCCAAATCCAAACTTGCATCAAAAAATGTTCCTGGTCACTGTTTGGTGGTCTGCTGCTGGTCTGATCCACTACAGCTTTCTGAATCCAGGCAAAACCATTACATCTGAGAAGTATGCTCAGCAAATCGATGAGATGCACAGAAGACTGCAATACCTGCAGCTGGCATTGGTCAACAGAAAGCGTCCAATTCTTCTCCATGACAACACACAACTGCACATCGCACAACCAACACTTCAAAAGTTGAACAAATTGGACTCCAAAGTTTTGCTTCATCTACCATACTCATCTGACCTCTCACCAACTGACACCACTTATTCAAGCATCTCAACAACTTTTTGCAGGGAAAACGCTTCCACACCAGCAGGATGCAGGAAATGCTTTCCAAGAGTTTGTTGAATCCCAAAGCATGAAGTTTTATGCTACAGGAATAAACAAACATTTTTTCAGCCAGGCATGGTGGCTCACACCTGTAATCCCAATACTTTGGGAGGCTGAGGCAGGCGGATCACAAAGTCAGGAGTTTGAGACCAGCCTGACCAACATGGTGAAACCCCGTCTCTACTAAAAATACAAAACTTAGCTGGGCATGGTGGCACGCGCCTGTAATCCCAGCTACTCAGGAAGCTGAGGCAGAAGAATTGCTTAAACCTGGGAGGCAGAGGTTGCAGTGAGCCAAGATCGCACCACTGTACTCCAGCCTGGGCGACAGAGTGAGACTCTATCTCAAAAAAAAAAAAAAAAATTATTGGCAAAAAAATGTTGATCATAATCGTTCCTATTTTGATTAATAAAGATGTGTTTGAGCCTGTTATCATGATTTAAAATTCATGGTCCAAAACAGCAATTACGTTTGCACCAACCTAATATGTCTTCTTTTGCAAAGTGTCCATTCATGTTCTTTGCCCATTTTTTAAAAGCATTATTTGGTTTTTGCTTGATGAATTGTTTAAATTCCTTATAAACTGTGGCCATAAAAAATAAATAAAATTATGTCCTTTGCAGCAACATGGATGCAGCTGGAAGCCATCACCCCAAGTGAATTAATGCAAAAACAGAAAACTGAGTGATCCATGTTCTCACTTATAAGTGGGAGCTAAACATGGGGCACATATGGACATAAAGATAAGAATAATAGACACTGGGGACTACTAGAAGGAGGAGAGGGGTAAAGAGTAAGGGCTGAAAATCTACCTTTTGGGTACTATGCTTGCTAACTGGGTAACAGGATCACTTGTACCCCAAACCTCAGTGTCACACAATATACCAGTGTAACAAATCTGTACATGTACCCCCGAATCTAAAATTAAAGTTGAAATTATAAACGATACAAAAAAAGCATTAAATCTTAAAGGAAAATAAAACGTTAAACTTCATAAAAATTAAGAATTTCTCTCTTCAAAAGACACAATTAATAAAATGAAAAGGCAAGCCAGAAACTAAGAGATAGTAGTGACACAAAAAAAACCTGAAAAATGACTTAAGTACAGAATATTTTAAGAACTCCCGTAAATTGGTAATAAAAATAAACAACGTAATTTAAAAAGTGCAAAAGATTTAAACAGACTCTTGGCAAAACAAGATAAATGACAAATAACATATGAAAAGGTGTTTAATGCCATTATGCATCAGGGAAATGCAAATTGATACCACCACAAGATCTCATTTGTCATGCACTAGAATTATTAAAATGAGAAAGAAAAAAATGACAACACCAGATGCATGTGAGGGTAAAGAACAACTGGAATTCTTATATATTGTTGAAGAGAGTATAAAATGGTTCAACCACATTGGAAAATGATTGATTTGGCAGTTTCATGCAACATTAAATATACATTTACACTGTGACCCACCAATTTCACTCTCAGTTATTTCAAAAAGAAGTAAAAACATATATCCACTCAAAAAAAAAGATTTCTACAAGATTTTTTATAGCCACATTACTCATAATAGTAGAAAACTGGAAGAAACCCAAATGTTTCTCAATAGAAGGTTACACAAAAAAGTGTGGCTTATTCTTATAGTGGAAGTTGATTTGTTAATAAAAAATAATTAACCCCTAATACATATGAGAATATTAAAAAATGCACAAACATTATGATAACCAAAAGAAACCAGGAACAAAACTTTGTCGTTTCACTGTATGCAAATTTTACAATTAAATCATGTGATGCAGTTTTTTAAAATGTCTATGATTAAAACAATGGAAAAAAAGTTACCAAAGAAATTGATAAAATATGTAAACATATAGTTTGTGATTCTTTAAAAAATATTACATAAATATAATTGAAGGAAGAATTAGAAAAATATGTAGACCAAAAAATGATAAATGGTTAATATAATTACTATTTATAGACCTAATACAAAAATTTGAAAATCACTGAAACTGAAATAAATGGATAAAAGTCTTAAACAATTTGCAAAGAGAATATGCAATTAAGCAAAGATGCCTAACTTTATATTCTTGTTAAACGATTCTCTTCTTAGTTCTTTGAAACATACAACAGTGGTCCTAGCCTCCCTTGCAGCTACTGGTGGCCATAGGACACAAGAAAAAATATATTTTTTTCCCTTTTCTTCTTCTTGCTTTTCCTTCTTTTTTCTCCCAGAACAAAAAAAAAAAAAAAAGCAGATCGGTACTATAGCTGCTGTATTGTGACCACAAGGCAGCAAGAATGACGGCAAAAGTCAGGATATTCAGGATGGCGAAGTGAAGATATAAAAAGAACTTGTGTTTCTAATGTTGCTTTTGAGCAGTTGAATCAATTTCACTCTTGTTATGTGAGGAAATGCCATGTGAGAAAAATAATGCTCACACTTCCTTAAACCACAACTACGTTTTCTGTTATTTTTGGCCAAAGACATTTCTTACCAATACACCAATAAACATTTGAAAAGCATTCAGTATCAAAGAATAGTAAAGCTATGCAACAAAAATATTTCATTTTTTATCTTTCAAATTGCAAATACTTTTAAGAAATGAAACTATTCAATAGGATGAACTCAAATATGCATTTTTTTAATTTACTACAAGAGGGAATGTAAATTTAGACCTATGTTTTGGAGATCACTGCAATAATATGTAGAGGCCACAAATGCTGTTTTAATCTAGTTTATTATTTTTTGTCACTGTATTATATATTACAATCATCATTAATAATTGTTTGTAACATAGAATTCCATTTGCTCACAGCTGTCATTCAAGAATAGTGGCTTATGTTTTTCTCTCACCTTCCAAATCTCTCACTTGTGCTTCTCATTGACAGAATGTTACCTACAACACTACAGGTCAGGGATTCTGGGACATGTAGTTCCCAAGAAAATGATTTTAGGCAATGTAGTTCCCATAGTGAAGAATCAAACAATGAATTGAGAAAAGCCAATTCAGCCCAACACAGAAATGGCTAAGTGAATTGTGGACACAAATGCAGTTCAGAAGGTCATGTTTACTCCTCCAGTATCCTGAAATACATTACATGGTTGAAGCAAACAGAATATTATATCCATCTCTTAAAAAGTTGTAAGTTATGAAAAATTCTGCTGTAACAGAAACCTATTCAACGTTGCCTAACCCACCTTAGACAAAACTTAACTGGCTAGAACACATATTAGGAAATAGTAATGTATTTCATAAATATTAAATTATTTACAAAGTTTTTTAATATGGAAAATGTATTATAAAATATACATAAAACTGAAATTTAAAAAGCATGAGATAAAAATGTAAGTACAATTTCCAACACTTCTCTTCCAAGGCTCAGCTTATTAATTTTTACATCCCCTGGAGTCTGCCCACTCCTCCATGGAAACCATGGTTATTCTAAAATGTAATTGTTTATACCTTGCAACCCCCAACTACCACCAGCAGCATCACAATGGAAACCTTAAAAGAAGCAGACATAGTGTCTATCTTATTCACAGCTGTATCTTTAGTACCTAGAAAAATTCTTGGCTAATATTAAGTAATTGTTGAACAAATGAGTAAACTTATAAATGAATGAATGAGATGCTGTTATGATAGAGCTTCTGTTACCTCATAGGAAAGACAAATAATGGGACAGGGAATGTTCTTCAGAAAAATGTTTCTGGGCCAAGACTGAGTGGTAATTAAGCACTACCTAGCCAAAAGAAGGAATGGGCATTTCTGAGGAATTAGGAGCAACCTAGGGAGAGAATTGAGATGATTGTGGTTGAAGAGAAATCAATATAAGTGGAGAGCAGGCTGTGTAGTGAGGTCAGTAATAGTGACTTCAAAAGGATAGCCAAGGTTTGGGTGAGAAAAGATTTTATGTACCATGATGAGGAGTTGAAATTTTTCCAATTTTTGCAATCTGGGAAAACTTTCTTGGGAGCAAAATCTAAAATAAGAGGTAAAATTTGAGTTGAAAATGTTAAAAATTGCATCGAACCAGATGAGAAATAAACAGAGAATGACTTAAAGCATTAAGGGGAGGGGTTTATATAGAGAATACAAAAAAAATCTGCATCACAAATTGAATATAAACTATTGAAATAGGAAAGGAAAGACAATACTATGGCCTAGGCTAGAAACCTGAGTAGATGGTGATATTAAACAACAAGAAGGAAGTAATAATAACCACGACAGAACATACTAATGCTGGCTTATTCATTGAGTGCCTGTTTCAGAAGCGAGTGTGAGGCATGAGGGTTGCTCCTTTACCTTCTCATAACCAAGTTAGAGATCACTGAATGATTACAGATCTCTTTCTTAATAATCTTGGACATTTCCTCATAGCTCTCCCTAACAGAACACTCCAATGGTTACTGTCAGAGTCAACATGCCAATAGAAATTTCATGGTCATCCTTAGCTTATTATGTTTCCAGCACTCAAAAGAAACCTTCATATATATATATATATATATATATATATATATATATATATACACACACACACACATACACACACACACACATATACACATATATATGTATATATAGATATATAGGGAGATATATATGCATATATAGATATATAAAGAGATATATATCCCTATTTATAGATATTTAGATACATATATAGCCCTATTTAATCATTGCAACAAACATTTTATTGTATTCATTTTATAAATGATGAAACTGGCATTTAGTGTAGTGAGTATAGAAGCAAGCTATAATCTCAAGTCTCTCTGACTCTATAGCTTAGACACACACATGCCCCTCCCCTCAAAGCCCATCTTGCCCAGTCTCAAACCCCACTCTTGGAATGAAGCAGGTGACCACCTAGATAACAAAGTCTTCCCTAGATACTTCTATCTACAGAACTACCTCTGGAACCTCCAGTAAAGATTTCTAGGAGGGAATTTAACAGGTCTGTGGTTCAGGAACACTGCAGGGGCTTCAAAAGTAGGTTTGGAGGCCATGAGCACGCAGGTAATAGTTGAAGTTATAGATGAGATCACCAAGAAACAGGTATAGAGTGAGAAGAGAGGAGAGGAGAGCAGAAGAGGGCACAAATAGAAGTAATTCAAGGATTTGCCTAGGAGCTGATAGGAAGAGATGTTATTTTCCTCTAAATTTGGACCAGAGGTCACCATGCAGAGCCTAGGACTAAGAACAACATCCTGGAAAGCAGAGCCAGTATATGAAGAGAGACCCAGTGCTGCATCTTTACCTATCCCAGGGTTTTTTAGGTATGTGAGCCAATATATTCTGTTTTTTATCTAAGCTGATTAGTACTGGGTTTCTGACACCTGCACCTGAAAGATCCTGACCACTGCCTTTCCTCATCAAGATGCTGCAAGCATCAAATGATAAAACCAGTGGAGAAAAATCTCATGAATTTCTGTCATAGAATAGGTTTTCCATAGCCATTAGCTAACCTTTCCTCAGTGACCCTTCAAGTCGTGAATGCCAGACTTTCCACCCATTATAACAGCCTCTTAAACTGGCTGTGCATGATCTATTAGGTTGGTGCAAAAGTAATGGCAAAAACCGCAACTGCTTTTACACCAACCTAATTCTTGGATACCATTTTTCTCACTATAAAAATCACATACTGTCTAGCTGGAGGATGGTAAAGGTTATCCTATGTTATCAGATAATGAACAGTTGGTGGGAAGGGCTCATAGTTTAAGCATCTTATTCTTGTTACTATTGACAGAGTCTATTGCTGATAGTATCCAGTGCATCAAAGAAGCACCATACATGTTAGTTTAATGAACATGACATCAGAAGCTTTTCCTCATGTGCTGTACACATCATCCGTTTAAGATAAGATTTCCAGACCCCAAAGGAAAGACTTGATACTTTTGCAGAGAGACATTCTAAAGCTTCACATGGATCTGACTGAAGTCAATGTTTTCATACATCATACTAAGATTGTTTAGCATAATTGCATAAATAAGCAGTGATAGACTCTATCATTAAGGATTTGAAACATCCCTTAGGTCTCAATATCTGAGATAAAACTGTAATGCATATTGCTTGAAAAGAAGAGAATTATTTTAGGAAAAATCTGTTTCACCACCTAAGATGGATGCTGTAGATGTTCAGTTTTCCAGTCTTGCCAGTCGCAGTGATTTCCTTTTGCTTTTTTACATTGCTGCCAATGTGTGTGTTAAAGTCTTCTGTGATATACAGCTTGCCAGGTGTAGCTGAGTTAACTTTCTTAAGTTCATGGAATTGTTCTTTTGTCTCATTGGTATTCATTATAATAAAAACCTACACTCTGTGTTAATTTTCAATTCCCCAGGTAGCGTTTTTCACTGTTATGAGGTGAACCTAATTCCACAGTTGGCCATTAAACACCTGTGCTTAAATCATGGGTATCTTGCTTCTTTCCCTTGAAATAACTTCTGGATTAACATTACATTCCAGATATACTGAAATTTATGTGATAGCTGACCTCATGATCTCAACCTTTACTGACCAAATAGGCAGACTTTGGCATTAAGAATGAATGAAGCTGAATGATATGTAACAACGTCAACAGATTTTATTCTTTTTGGTGACAAAAAAAGTAAATGTACCCATGCTCTCTAAGACATGCTGTTTGATCAGGAAGAAGGCAAAAAGCATTCTAATCTTTCATCACAATGCCCTTCAGAAACATCAGCGTGTGTGCATGCATATACTGTTATCTTTTGAAACTAATAAAAATCAGTCACTGAGGAAACGTACTGACATCTATCAAAAGTAGGGCTGTTCTCAGTCCGCGATGCTCACCATGAGCAGAGACGTAGAGTGATGTACAAAAACTTACCAGGCAGAACCCATAGACCATATAATCTTCACAAAAGCTAGAAAAACCAGTTTTTGGACAATGTGACATTTTACAGAACACATTCAAGTTAGTACTCTCATGAGGGGAAAAGCCCATAAACCAAAAGTTTCATGCACAGCATGATTTTGGAAAGGACAGAGAATAGTAAGATACAATCTATTGGATGCAGTAATATTTCTGCTAACGTGAAATTCCAGTCTATATTATTGAATGAACAATAATCCAAAGGAGAGCTACATTTTATTAGGTTAAGAAAATGGAAATGACTTTGTGCTTTTCTCAATAAAATGTGAATTATTTTAAAAGCCCATGAAGTTATTAATGTCTTTGCCTGAATGTCAGATACTAAGAAAATCAGAGGCAATATTTTTTAAACAAATTTTGCTTTTCTGGCAAATTCGCTTGGTGAAAATGAAGACTGGGTCTGTGTCTTCTTGTTTGTGTTTCCCACAGTGACTAGCACACAATGGGCTCTACGTAATAAATGTTACATACAAATGAGATGACAATTGGTTGATTAAAGGACCCAGTTCAGATGTCAACGCTGCCATGAAATCCTCCATCCTACCTTTCTCACTTCAAAAGTTCTATAGCACAGCCCTTGCTCCTCTCGTTCATCAGGTTCTAGAATTCTGTCTTGAAAAAAGATTCTACCTTCCTAGCTTTTGCATTGCCACAACATTTTACACACAATAAGTGCAGACTCATTACAAATAGGAAAAAATGAAATCATTGAATAAATAATCCTAACCCTCACCCATTTGCATTTAGATGCTAATTTCTTTTTTCTAAGCTGACAGTCTCATTCCTGCTGAAAGATAACTCTGGAAGAAGAAATGACTTGACACAGGAAAAGGGACAGACTAAAGGGAACACAAAAACAAGTATCTAACACAGTCATCCACCACAGCCACATTATTTTCCAGATAAATAAACTGAGGGCCAGAAAAATGAAGCAGCTTGTCCCAAGCTACTTTATGGCAGTGGCAGAACTGGAACCCAGTGCTCTGATTACTATGTTAGGGCACTTTTCACTCAACTCTGCTGATGCTGAAAAATGTAAACCTCAATAGGACTTGGAATGTGTAATTTCTTTCATTCAGTTTGTATCATTCATTTGCCACCCACATTTGATTATTTGTATGGGCTCTCTATGTCTTTTTCCCAAATTTCCTACATAAAATAATAATACATTGATTAGAAACAGAAAAAAGAAAAAGAAAATAACAAATGAGTGAAATGAACATGAAAGCTGTTCTGTAAATAAGTTCTTGTTGTTCCTTTAAAGTGTTCTTTATTTTTAAACTTTCTATAACAATATGTCTTATCTCCCTAATTAGCTGAAGACAGGGGCTATGTAAATACTTATTCCTATCACTGTGTCAGCTGGCAATAAAGTATGTCTACCAGGATATTCTAGTCATTGAGGGTCCTGGAGGAATTTCACAGAAGGCAAATTAAGCACATATTGAACACATTAGCTAAGGGGGGAATTAAAAATTAGTGAAGTACAACTTTGGCAAAACTACTCATAATTTGACAATCAAATAAATCTAAAATTAGTTTTCAATGAAAATACTAATTTCAGCATTTATGAAAGTTTTATGCCTTTGAGTTTGGCTTATTTTCTTTTTTTAAAAAAAAGTATGAAATGCATATAGCAAAGAATAGAAGGTGAGGCACTGTTCTCTTTCTCAGGGCCGAGGGCTTCTAAGACATTTAATTCTGCTGTGCTGAGGCAAAGAAGAGCAATGGTCAAGAAGACCAAACAAGATAATACATGTGTTAGGGACAGGGGGCAGAGAAATTCTAGGCAGAAAAGTGTGGGTTCCAGGCAAAACCCCACTCTCAAGCCAAAAAGCCTGAAACCACAGCCCAAAGGGAGAACTTCTATCCCTGTTTTCCCACTCAAATGTTGCCTTTTCCTAAACCACCCACGGCCCCACCTGGCCACATCCTATGCCCATAAAAACCCCAGACTCAGCCAGTAGATGGGACTACAGCTGGACGTTGGAGATAAGCAGCTTCACTTCAGACAGACAGCTTGACAGTGTAACTTCAGAGAAGAATCTGGCCAGAGATGGCTGGACTTCAGGGGAAGATTACCTTCCTACCCTGTCCCCTTTTCACCTCCTCTTCCTGCTGACAGCCACTTTCATTGGCAATAAAACCCCCCCACATTTATCATCCTTCAATTCATTCATGCAACCTCATTTTTTCTGGACACCAGACAAGAGCTCTGGAGCCACAAGTATGGATAAAAAAGGCTGTCACACTTGTCCTTTGCCCTCGCTGGCAGAGGACAGCCACCTCACATGAAAATGCAAAGAGTCCACTGAGCTGTTAACACTTAAGCCATCCATGGATGGCAGAGCTAAAAGAGCACTGTAATACACCCTCTGGAGCTTCAGTAGTCACAGGCACCCCTGCCTGGATGCTGCCATGAGGCCTGTACAGAGTTCACTCTTGCCAGTGCTAAACCATCTGGCTGGTTCCTGCACCTGCTCACCTGCATGGTCCCTCCCACAAAGGGTGGAACGCAGCAGGTCCAAGTGAGTGGAGTTTGGTCCCGCTGGTGCCAAAGGGGCCAGCCAGTTCCAGCACTTGTTCACTCCAGTTCCTGCACTCATTCACTCACACGCCCCCTCCCACAAGGAGTTGAGAGCAGCGGACCCTTGTGGCACCCTTGTCTCGAATCCCACAAACAGGTCAGGGAAATATCCTGCTTTACATGTATGTGCTTTGAACAACATCTGGCACAAAGTAATATCTTAATAAATTTGAAGCATTATTATGAGAGACCATTATTTTAATCTAACCAGGCACAGTCTCAGGCCTCACAGAGCTTACTTGTTTGTGTATGTTTAATAAATTTTAACTTGGAAATTCAAAGTGAAACCAAATGTAATATTACTACCTATTTTATGTTTAAAACCAAATAAATGGAACATTGGAAAAAATAAAGCAGGTAGCTTATAATTTGATTTAAAAAGAAAAGAAATTTTTTAAGTTTGGCATTATCATTTTCTAATCTCTGCACTAATTCTCAATTTTTTTTCAATATAACTAAACCTTTAACAGATCTAAATTTCACCTGAGGAAAAAAGTCAATCTCCTCACCAGTGCAAAAAATAATATTGCCAGCCTTACAGACTCTGATAAAAATTTTAGAATATGAAATTCTTGCAATTACATGCATCTAAAATTTCACACACAGCAAAATACAGATGATTTTCACTAGAGCTGTTTCTATAAGATAATTCATTTCAGTATATTCATTGACAAAATATATTCTGAAGAAAAAGATTTCTTTACCACAATAGACTTTTAATTATAGAAACTGTCTTTAATTATAGAAATTGTATATATATATTTGGCAAGAATTTATTATCATAATTGGTTCTTTTTAAAATTACATTTTTTTAACTTGCTATAGGCTAAGGCAGCAAAGAAATATGGAAAAACAGTGCATATTTGGTGATATCCATGTGGCTTTCTTTCTTTTCTTTAATTTCCTTTATAAGGCAATTTGGAATAAACAAAAGTGAACTAATAAAAATTCCCCATATGTTTTAACTTCAATTTGCAAATCCAATTTTTGAAAAAACAGAATTTGTAGCCAACTTGCTCTAAATCAGATCACTCATCCTTCAAAGCAACCCACTTCTCTAGACAATCTAAAAACTAGCAATTTTGCCACTTTCACTGTCAGCAAATGCTTCTACAGAAATGCTGTGAATGTTTGTTGGGTGTGTTTTTTTCTTAAGTTTATGAAGCTGTTTAAACGACAAGTATTTCAATTTATGACTGAGCGTTCTATAGAGCTTAGTCTGTATAAACCATACCACTATTTAATATTCTAACTGCTAACAACATCTTCCAACACAAATGAACACATTTTTCTCCCACATTAGGGAATTTTTAGAGTAGCAATATGGCAACTCCAGGTGGTGTGGTTCTCCGTAGATAATCACTCCCTATGGAAAGCTTCCCTCTTCAGAGGTGATGATCACCAGACCTCAGTCATGCCTTCCTGCTTACATACATGCTGATGGCAGCAATCAGAAACATTTGTAAGGCCTGAGGAGCATACAGAATTTATGTTATTTGCCTATGTGTTAATAATAAAAACTACTAACTCTGCTGGCAAGGCTGTATACACTTTTACAGTCATCATAATTAAAAAGTTTTAGTATGTGGTTTTGTGTTGCGACACCATCAATCAAAGTCCATTTTCTGACATTTGTAGCAGAGGCAATATGTTCCACATAGGTTATTTCTGGAATTGTATTGCTTACTGTAATAGAGTCCTGTCATGTAGCTCTATTGCACCAACTTCACCTGCTCTGCTGCAGCTGCCTGTGCTTTGTCCACTTGTATAATCTCTCAAGCGTGCACAAAGTAGACCGATGGAGAAGGAAGAGAATTTTTTTAAGAATTATATTTTATTGACCAATATGTACAAATCTAAATTTATTTCTCTGGATAGAATTTGAATACTAAAACATCAATCTTCTAGATCTCTTAGTTTATTTAGACTATATGCCTGATGTAACTGGCCTTCAGAAAACCTTAATAGTTTTTGTATTTCCTTTCATTAATTACTTAATAATCAAAAAAACCTTATGGACAATGTCAATTTTTTTAACAGAGCTGCATTGTCTATTTCCTGTTGTTCTCTGCTCTATAAAACACACTTTGGTGTGAGATAGCCCTCATTAAAGAAGACAAACTTCTTTGAAAAAGAAAGAATCACAAGTTGAGAAACATTTATTTTATGCCTTTGACTCCGTGATGAAACGTTTCAAAGGCAGAAAGGGGACTGAAAATGGAAACTGACAAAATGATAACATAAGTTGGTTGGAATTTGACAGAAAATTAGAGTGTCCTTAAGTGATGTTAAAGAGAGCAATGTGTCTATTGCAGATGAAGCATAGCAAGAAGGAGAGCTTTCCTTAATTACAGGGAGAGAAAAATTCCAACTATTGCCAAATTTAATTTCTTTCCCTGAATTTAACTGACTACATAAGATTTGACATGCTACATCAGTGCATTATGAAAATCCGTCACAATTACTGTCAAATGTACAATGTTTTGCTCTAAAAAGCTTCTGAATTAGACCTATTTCAAAATATAGCAAGAAAACTGACCTAGCACATGTTCATACCAAGGGACATATTGTTTGAAATAAATATTTTACCATATTCTTTATATTGGAGAAGTTAGGGGATTTAATTTGTAAATTTGTTCATTTCTAATGAGCTTTAATACAAACAGAAATCACAAAATTAGGAAAAAAAAAGAGGCAGGGACAAAAGGAATAATTTTAACGTGCATTTTTACCTTTTCTCAAGATGGTTAAAATCATAACAATTGTTTTCTAACAGAAATGCAATGGAATACTGTTCTTTTAAGTGATTTTAATGTTAATTTTAACATAAGATATAGGTGCACATATATTCAAAATTATCTATAGTAGATAGTATAGACATGATAGATAGATCATTGATTCACGGATAGACTTTTTCTCCAAGCAAAAAGGCCGGTAACTTAATAATGAATAATGAAATATGCAATAAAAAATATCAGGCCAAGCATTTATATAGATGCCTCAACTAAAGGTAGGTTAAGCAACATTTTCTTCTAAAATAAAATTAAATTCATCACTGGATATGTGTAATTTTTCTGAAGTTTAATTGAAACTATGTGATTTTATTACATATATCCCCACCCTGCTATCCCAGATTTTTTATCTTTAATTAAAGTTTTCAAAAGATACTTGTTAATTATTTGGGGAATGGGTTAGAGATCTATTCTCAAACTAGAATGTTTTATCTGCCAGGAGAAATGTGGAAAGAAATTAGAATACCTGTTATTCACATTAATAGAAACTCCAGTTCATAGATGACTTTCAAGCCCGTTACCACAGCATCTGAAGAGTTCACAATTCTAGGGAGGAAGCCAAATATTAAAAATATACATCCTGGAGAGTGCTTGACAGTACAACCTTTGTGAAATAATAGAAGAAAGAGTTACAATCACTTTTTCAGAATGTCATGGTTCAAAAAAAAGATATGACAGTGGCATAGATTGCTCTAGAGACTTGGAAGATGACATTGACTCTCTCACATGCATATCAGTTCATCAGAGAGCAAAAGTTATCCTATCTGAAAGTAGCTACAATGACCTTTGTGTAATGAATTAATGACTGTAGTGCATTTCCAGTGACCTCCATCACATCATAAAAATTTTCATTAGGACAGTTATTTGCAGACTGATTGGAGAACCTAAGGAATAAACAGATGTACACACACACACCTTGAACTATTTGCCTTCTTCCATATATAATTCTCTGAGTGAAGTATTACTGCAGTAAATATGACTGCTTTACTGGTGTCTTTCATTTTAAGTCAGTGTGTTTATGTTAATTTATAAAGTCTTAGAAAACTGGAATCCCTTCTCTCTCACTCTCTCTCTCTCTCTCTCCAGATAGACAGATAGATAGATGACAGATAGATAGATAGATAGATAGATAGATAGATAGATAGATGATAGATAGATATATAGATAGATCTGCCTATCAATATAATATCACAAATGTTCGGTAATGAGCAAATGAATTTTGGTGGTGATAGTGATGGTGGCTTTTTAAAGACAATCCTAACTCACCTAGTTTGGTTTAGGTACTCTTTCTCTATACTCCGACCATGTCCAGTGAATCTCAGTCACTGCTCCTATAAAAGTCTTATAATTATACGTTGATATTGATAAAAAAAAAAAAAACTTCAGCTGAGTTAAATTTAAAGGAATTTAATTGAGCAATGAACGATTTGCAAATAGGGCAGCCTCCTAAGCCAAAATAGGCTCTGAGACTCCAGGGCAGCCACATGGTAGAAGATGATGTATGGACAGAAAAAGGAAAGTGACATACAGAAAATAGAAGTGAGGTACAGAAACAGCTGGATTGGTTACAGCTCAGCATTTACCTTATTAGAACATGGTTGGAACAGTTGGCTACATTTGATTGGCCAAAACTTGGAGATTGGCACGAGTGTAGGCTTCAGTCTATTTACAGCTCCACTTGTTACAGTTCACGATATAGAGAAACCTTTAGGCTAAACTTAACATATGTAAGGAGGCAGCTTTATTCTAAACTTGATTTAACAATATGCCTGCCTCTTTTTTTCTGGATTCAGACCACCTTGAAGATGCAAATTACGTCTTCCTCCTTTCCAAATCTCCAACAGCTAGAGTGTAGCCCATTATTTGTACTTCATGCTTACTGATTTAATTGGTTAGTTATTCCATCCATCTTTCCCATCATGTTGCCTCCCATAATACCTATCCAACTTCAGTCTTTACAAAGAGAAGTTAATATGAATTCACATAAATACTTGAGTTTCATGAATCATTCTTTATGTTAGAAATATAGCTTCTAGGCCGGGCGCGGTGGCTCACGCCTGTAATCCCAGCACTTTGGGAGGCCGAGGCGGGCGGATCACGAGGTCAGGAGATCGAGACCATCCCGGCTAAAACGGTGAAACCCCGTCTCTACTAAAAATACAAAAATTAGCCGGGCGTAGTGGCGGGCGCCTGTAGTCCCAGCTACTTGGGAGGATGAGGCAGGAGAATGGCGTGAACCCGGGAGGCGGAGCTTGCAGTGAGCCGAGATCCCGCCACTGCACTCCAGCCTGGGCGACAGAGCGAGACTCCGTCTCAAAAAAAAAAAAAAAAGAAAGAAAAAGAAATATAGCTTCTAATGTGGCTGTCTTGCAAGGTCAGGAGCAGGTGAAAGAAGCAATGGAAAGAGATGATCTTTGGATCATCATCAAGGTATTAACTGTGTGACTATTACCAGGAAGCCTGGACACAATTCAAAAAAGCTACACTTTAGATGTAAGCTGTACGGCCAGCCACTGATGCCACCCACAGAGTTACAAAGTGTCAGACACACTATTCTTCTGCCTTCTATTTTTCTTATCTTGAACTCTGTGGCCCATCTTCTGATCCCCTGACATTGACGGGATAGTGGGGCTGATGGTTATATCTACACTTCAGATTCACTACAGCTTTCTCCAGAGAACACAGGTAAGGACTACCAGTAAAGGGAGAAGGAACATCCACGTACAGTCTTGAAATAGTCACTGACAAAGTTAGTGGCCACACTGCCTCTTTTCACTGAGCATCTTAGAAGAAAGGTTATGAGCCCCATATAAAATAAAGTATACAAATGTGCCCCACCTACATGGCTGAATTATAAAAATTATAGTCTCATAAGGTAAAAATGATTTAATTATTTTTGTTATTAAAACTTCCTGTATCCCTAATATAATGTCTTACATGCTATGTATCCTGAGTGACAGTACAAATAAATACTTTCACTTGTATTTATCCGTTATTACCTCACATCCCACTGAGGCAGACACGGCAGTGTTCTTTATATTTGGAAACCTTTGGCACTGAAATGTGAAAAAACTCCTCCCATTTTGGGTAACCCCCATGGTTACACGGCCAAAATATAGATCATAAAATACTTGGATGGGTGAAATTTAAACTTTTTTAACCTGGATTGGCTCCAGGGCATCCATGAATACATTGAAGTTTTTACAAAACTTGTTCCTATGTGCAGTTCTTTTTTTTTTTCTGGCTAAAAATTCTGTTTTATCAGATTCTAAAAAGAAACTCTGTCGCTCAAAATTAAAAGCCAACAGAATTATTACATCATAAAGGAGATTTTGCATTCATTCCTACAGTCAAACGTTTTCCAAGCTTTCCTCACATAAAAGTATCTCTTTTGCATCAAGAAGAATACAAGGCAAATGTGACAGTTTCACCTTCCCCAGAGGTTTATAGCCTAGTACAAGCAAAAGAAAAACACAAAAATGACCACAAACAAGGCAATAAATAGGCTTTATGTGAGTGGCACAAACAAATGCCCCATGAAATTTCAGAACATGGACATCTCTTTTGTTTAAGTACTCAAGAAAGCAAGAAGTGGCATTCGAGCCAAGCCTTGACGTTGTATACGGTATCTACAAAGAGAGTGAGGACAGATGAGTGCCATTTAGACTCTGAGAATGGAATAACCAAAGCTGGGAGATTGGAAAAATAACTTTGAAAATTAAAAAGATCTTGGAAGAAATTCAACAGCTTTCCTGGCATGTCAGTAGAATATGTTTGGGACTATAGGTGGTAGGTTTGAATATGAAGGAAAAATTTTGGACTTTAATATGCAAAACAAGGGAAGTGATGAAAAGTCTTGGGGCCAGAAAGTGGCATTATCAAATAATATTCTAGGAGTAATATTCATCAGCAAGTATGTAGAATGTATTGTTGAGAGGAGAGAGGTCTAGAGGAAAAATACCAGTTCAAGTTCAGAGAAATACCAACAGAAACTACTGCTGTTTCTGTTAACAGAAAGGGATGGATAAAGGGGGAGGTGATGAGCAAGAAATTAACAAGACCATTACTCAAGAGGTCTCTGCTATAAAATGGGAATAACAATGGGTAGTTACTTTATAATTTAAGTATGTAATTAAGATAATCCAAGTAAAATTTTAGAAAGCTCTCTGGCACATAGTAATAGTACAATAAACATTAGCTAATTGTTATTGTTATTGGATATAAGAGAGACAGGGAGAAACCAAAAAATACTGAAATTGCAGCCAATTTATCGGAGATACTTGTAGGAACATTAAGAAAAACAAAAATAAAAAGAGGGGTCAAAAGGAGGAGCAGGTTTAAGGCAAAGGGGAGGAATTAAATGTGGAGATTATAAAACTGGTTATAGAAATAGGGCATTGATATGGAAATAGCTGACAATTAAAAGCAAGACACTGCATAATAGGTCCTGAGAGAAGTCATGGATTTCAGACTCATCCACCTAAAAACAATAGCAAGCTATGGGAATGGGTGGAATTTATAAAGAGAGAGAATAGGAGGTAAAGAGATAGAATGAAAGGTCAGAGCCTTGAATGCATGGGTTTAGGGAATAAAAGGCCTAAATAAAGATAGACATCATTTAGGTAAATAAAGAGGACACTTAGCTAGGAGCAGAAACAGAATCATCCTGCTTTCAGAAAGCCACAGAAGCAGAATTTGTCTAATTGAAGGTGAAAGGAATTTCCAAAACTTCTAAGCAGGTAAAAGAAAAAGTCAATGAATGTGATGATGCAGAGATGACTTAATATAATGCTTCCTCAGGAGATTGGCAGACAGGGCACCCCTAGCAGGAAGCAGTGGACAGATCTGACTTGGAGAAAGTGGACTGGCTTAAGGACTAGGAAATGTGAAGCCAAGTTTGATGTGAGGCAGCGCTCAAATGTAAAACCAAACAAAAAGCCAGACAGCTATCCCAACCAAGGTACCAAGCCCAAGAGTTTAGTCTTAGGCAGAATCAAAAAACTAACAAACAAAAAGAAGTTGTGGAATAGAAAACCTAAAGCAAAATGAAAGCAGTTCAGTTTACTGATTTAGATCGCTATTTAAATCTAGAGTCAGACTGGACCCTGCAGCCTATTAGTTTTGTAACCTAAATGATGTTCTATATCTCTGTGTGTCTAACTCCCACTATTGGGGAAATAATAGAACCTACTGCACAGGGTTGTTGTGTTAAGTAAATGTGATAATGCATGTAAAGCACTCAGTGAGATATCTGGCACAAAATAAATACTCAAAAAAAGTTATCAATTGCTACTGACAATGGGTAAGAAATAGAGTTTAGAAAGGTTTTCCAATTGACTAGGCACAAAATTGCAGATGCTTTTTAGTAGAAACCCAAAAGCTAAAACCTAGAGAGGCTACCTAAGGAATTAGATTCACTCAACCTGTTTGAAGAAGACCTTAAATATCAGTGTGACACGTGCCCAAAATCCTATAGGCAACAGAAGGCTATTTACATTGTTTTATTAGTATAATGACATGATTAAAATATATTTAAGAGATCAACCTTTAAGTGACATACAAAATGGTTTGGAGAATGAAAATCTTGTTAAATTCACTTTGCATTACTAATTTTAAAAAGCACAGTGTGGTTATTTCAAGTATTGAAATGCTTGAATTCTGAGCAATAACCATTGCACAGGTTATTGCTGGACACTTGTTCCTGAGTACTCACTCCCCATGTGCTATCTCTGTTGTGCGTCACTAAGCCCCCTTCCACTGGGTATACGTTGAAACAATTCTTTCCTTTATTTCCAGTCTCAATGTGAAACAAAAAGTGAGAATCTTCAGTATGTTATCAAAAAGATTTGAAATGGCTAAATTTTTGAATCACAGAAAAATGAGAGAATGATTGTACATCTTACAATTGTCACAGACACATCCACTTTACTTAACTCCAGTATATTTAAAGCCAGCATATTGTGCATAAGGGATGGGAACAAAGCACATGTAAGATATTATCGATTTCCAGAAATGATAAGTACATCCTACAAGTGAAACCCCAGTCTGCAACCCCATTCTTTCTCTTCCCTGTATGTCTAGAGGCTTGCCACATGCCAGGAATCTTGCAGGCCAGTCTCACATTTGCTAAAAGTAATTGCTATTTTCTATGTCTGCTCAGGCATGATGCTCTGAAATAAAGTACAAAGCATAGCAACTTCAATTAACAAATACAACTACCATATTATTCAATTCTACACAGATTCATTTTTACCCGAGGGATATTACAAAACATCACAAAGCCGAATATTATTCCTGTAACATCTGTCATCAAAACCAAAATCATATAGTTAGATCTACATAAATCATAGCAAACCTGCCATCCCACAGCAAGAGTCAAACATCCACCCTATGCCATGGCCTTCAAAATATTGAGATAATTGGTGGATAGGCTTGTTTTCTCCTTTCATCACCAAGGTTTCACTTCAGAACAATACCACATGATGAGTCCACTTTTTTTGATGCTAAAATGTGAATACTGTTTTCATAATTTAGTATGCAGCGTGCTGGTCCAAATCGACATGTTTGTAAGGGATTCCATCATGTCAAACAGAGGAGAAGGGAAAATCTGACAGCAAGCATTTGTCGGATATGGACAAAGCTCTGCTGGAGCCTGCTTTCACTGAACAGTCCCTGAAGCACAAAAAAACTTATCCCACTTTTATAAAGCCATGCATGCATGCATGAAACTGAGGATAGAATTTCAAGTAGAAATTGATGACTTAGTAAAAATGCATATAATTTTTCTACATAAAAGAGAAATGGAAGGCATACCAAGAAAACATTGTTCCTGAGTAAGGTGATTAAAAATTCAAGTGTCACTCTTTGAAGTCAAAATTTCACAAAGCTCATGAAATCTGTTTAGGTAGACATCTTCAATACAGAGAATCATACAGGAGAATTAAGCAGCAGCATTTTGGAGGTGCTGTGGTTTCTTCTATTTGTGCACATTTAATACAGAAAAACCACTAAAGCAGAGTGGAAAGAAGTAGATTTACTTGGCAGATTAGAAAATACGTGTGCTTTTTAAAGGACAGCAGCTCCAACTATTTTAAATGGAAACACTGTCTAAAAGACAATTTTTTTGCTTTTTTATTAATACTTAACAATTTGATGGTTAGATAACTAGACCTTCTATGTTTTTGAAGTCACTTTTCTTAAAAAACTATTATTGAACCCTGTAAAAATATTGGCATGTTTATAACTGAAGCTAGCACCAAAAAAATTCAAACAAAGGAAATCAGACCAACTTACCATGAGATGAAGATACTCTTCACAGATTTCAGTAACAAAAGGGGCTCACATTAAATTCTGTTTTTAGCTATTTCAATAATTGAATTACTTATTGGACCATACAATTTCATTGCCCTGCTATTGTCCTGTGTGGGTTACAGGCTTAGAGAAGAGATTGTTAAGAGTGAGGACTTTGGAGTTGGTCTGCCTGGAATCAAATCCCAACTTTACTACATACTATGTGACCTTGGGCTTGTCACTTATCAACCTAAGCCTTTATTTCTTTATTTGTAAAATTCAGTTAATAACGGTGTCTACATCCTAGAGTTGTAATGAGGATTAAGTTCATATATAAGGAGGGCTGCGTACATGGGAAACACTACATAACTATTAGTTTTTATTCTTCTACTTGAAGGCTGTAGTCACTATTTCTGTTCTCTCCTTTAGCCATCTGTCTTTTCTGCCGTTTCACATTCTTACTCTTTTGCTCAAATCTTATATTCATTATTAAAAACAGTTCTATAATTTTAGAGAGCACCCCTTGATGGCTCATCTTGGAGTAAAGGGAGATAAATATTTGTTATCCTAAATATTCTGCAGGCATGTCTTATAATGATGTATTTTAGCTCACCGAGTGAATGTGTAAGAAAATATTTCATGAAATGGATGCTATATCACACTGGCGAATAACACCACTCTAAAGTAGACCATTGGCAATGTAGAGATGAATGATAGATGTTGTTCTCGAAAAGTTCATCATATAGTGGGAAAGACACACTAGTAAACAATTTCCACACAGGCAAATGTATGCCTATAATGTGGGAGGACACCGAATAGCAGTACCCATCACAGACTGAGGCAGAGTAGGGGAAGAAAAAGGTTCTTGGAGGAACAAGACAAGACCAGAACAATGTACTCAGAGATAAGAAAAGTGGTGGAGGAGAGGGACTTTGTCAGGTATTGGAGAACTGAGTTTATAGAATGGCTAAAACTTGCGGACCTGGGAGTGTTAACACTTAAAAGTATGCTAAAGAGAAAAAGTCATAATAAGGGAAAGATGGTAGACACAGGAGAGAAAGGATACTAGAAGGAGCAAGGTTCCCAAATAAAGGAATGTAACTCAAAAGTGGAATTACCTTTTTCCCCAAGTACATAGGAAGGAGGGGTATTGGAGATGAATCCAGAAATAGCAACACTGAGTGGATCTTTCAGAGTGAGGTGATGTAAAGACAGTTTCTGCCTGATGGTCTCCATCTTCTCTGTGAGGAAGGAGATGAGATCATCTACAAGAATGTGGCAAGAGGTGGGGGAAGGAATGGCAGGTCAGGGGTTAAAAAGAGAAGTAAGAATTGGAAACAGTTGTGGAGGGGAATGACAGAGGGAGCTTTTTTGAAACATAAGAGGTAGCAACTGGCAGAGCCTGGTGATAGTTAGAGACTCAGTTTTTGTGTGATTTGCATGTAGTGAAATGGTGTTTTTGCTGGTAGTACATTACAACCAAGATGTTTGGACTAGATGAAGGGAATGTTTGGCTTTCTCCAGCTTTGGTGTTTTTCTAGGTATAAGTAAGAGAAGGTTAAAGGGCTGATAAGATAGGGTACAATACAAGAATAGTTTAATAAATAATATGACAATAAACAATCTATATAGTAAATAAGTAAATACCTCTAACCTCCTGCCATCTTTTATTGTGGTAAGAACACTAAACATGATATATACCTCTTTATTTTTTTTTTTTGAGACGGAGTTTTGCCCTTGTTGCCCAGGCTGGAGTGCAGTGGCACGATCTTGGCTCACACTGCAACCTCTGCCTCCCAGGTTCAAGCAATTCTCCTGCCTCAGCCTTCTGAGTAGCTGAGATTACAGGCACCCACCACCATGCCCGGCTGATTTTTTTTTTATTTTTAGTAGAGGCAGGGTTTCACCATGTTTGTCAAGCTGGTCTCAAACTCCTGACCTCAGGTGATCCACCCGCCCTGGCTTCCCAAAGTGCTGGGGATTACAGGCATGAGCCACTGCACCCAGCCTACCACTTCAATGTTTAAGTGTACAATATGTTATGGTTAACTATCGGCACAATGTTTTAAAGAAAATCTCTAGAACCTATTCACATTGTATAACTGAAACTGTATATTCAAAACAGCACGCCATGTTCTTTTAAACTTTTTTTTTTTTTTTTTTTTTTTTTTGGCTGGGCATGGTGGCCCATGCCTGTAAGGATCACTTTAAACCAGGAGTTCAAGACTAGCCTGGGCAACATAGTGAGACCCTGTCACTACAAAACAAGGAAAAATTCAAAAAAATTAGCCCAGCATGGCAGCATGCACCTGTTAGTCTTAGCTACCTGGGAGGCTGAGGGGGGAGGATCACTTGAGCCCAGGAGTTTTAAGTTGCAGGCTACAGTGAGCTATAATCGCACCACTGCACTCCAGCCTGGGCAACCAAGGGAGACCTCGGCTTTAAAAATAAAATTAAGACTATAGGAAAATTTAGTCTTTTCTGATAATTTAATCACCTCAACATTTCTCCATGATAAAAGTATCTATCAAGCCTATTAAAAACATTATTTAAGTAGGGTGGCCATAAACTGAGACACTTTTGAGAGTAAAGGGATGTGTCATTAGTAATTACACCACTACAATAGACATAAGCTGGGACTGTCCTAGGTAATTTGAGATGTCAGGTTACTCTACACTTAGTGACTTTAAAAAAATAAAATAAAACATTTTTGAGGGAGACGGGAAGGGGAAGGAAGGTCCAGAAAGGAGAGACTGAAAACTTCAAGAAAAATTTAGCCTATTTTACAAGTTTGTTTAGAACCAATTCTATTAGTAAATGCCCTCTATAGCAATAACCTTCAGCAAGTTAATATCTCACATAAATTAAAATATTTCACAATTCTGTGTAAATTAAATATCTTAATAGTTTCCAAGGTATTGAATAGGTTGAGTCAGTTCAGATTCTTCATTTTCAGGCAAAAGAAACAGACCCAGTTATCTCAAAGAAATTTTAAATGGGAGAGAAATTTTTTCTCTAGCTTCAAGAAGAGCAAGTATCAGCACATCTCCAAGAATTTCTGCAGCAGAAATTCATGGAGACGGTGCCATCAAGTGATTTAGCTCCCACTCCTTCCATCCTTCCTTCTGTTTCTCAAGGCTCAGTTCCTATGTGAGGAAGATTATGTTTGTCTCTACTTGGGGCAACTATCAACTGTTGTGATCAAGGGAGTAAAGTCACAGATAGAAAGCCTACCAGAGAAAATGCTGAGCAAATGAAGCCCTGAGATCCACAACATCCTATAAATAGTCCTTATTAAATGAGAAAATCATATGGAGTGTTAATTTGCACTTCCATCCTACAATCACTGGACAATACTATTTCTCTATTTCAACTTCTGGGGCTCCAAACCTCAAAATGGCTATACTTCAGTCAGAGCCTCTTTGATTGATAAGACATGCATCACAATACAACTCAGACACTTGAAGATTTCTGTCTTTAGCAAACATAGAAGCCAGATTCGGGAAATCTTCACGCATAACATATTTGAAACAGTTGTTCTTAGAAGTATGTGTTCAAACAACCTTCCAGATTGACACACTTCTCCTTGGAAAAGATGTCCAATTCCTTTTAATGTTAACTAAATGAACTGCAAATGCTAGATAATACAAAAATAAATCTGGTGGTAATGGTGGGAAAAGCCAATGAGAAGACTTCATTCACCAGTGCTATGATTTAAATATGTCTGCCAAATTTAATGTGTTGGAAACTTAATCTCCAGATTATAGGTTGATAGTGTTTGGAGGTTGGACCTTTGGGAGGTAATTAGGATTAGATAAGGTCATCGGCCTGGAGCCCTCATTATGGGACTGGTAGCTTTATAAGAAGAGGAACAGAGAGCTGAACCAGCATACTCTTGTTCTCTCACCATGTGATGCCCACTGTCATTTTATGACTCAGCAAAAGGGCTCTCACCAAATGCTGGAGCCATGCTTTTAAACTTTCCAGCCTCCTTAACAGTAAAAAATAAACTTACTTACCTTCTTTGTAAATTGCCTAGTCTCTGATATTCACTTACAGCAAAAGAAAATGAACTAGGGCAACTGGAACTTGGGTTAGACCTATCCGCTTTTTATCATTACAGTCAACATTCAAATACCTCATCTGTTCCTAAAAGTCAGTTAGAGATGACAGCCAATGATACCTTTTTCAATGTCAAAGAAGGCCATTGAAGCTGTTCTTATAAAGATTTTTCCTAAATTCATTTTTGCTCTAAAATGATGACTTGTCAGTAATTAAAATTTAAAACTTCGAAATATAAAATTGTACCTCCACTTTAGTTACTAAACATATTTGAAACTCAATTACCCATAGCACCAATTTGTAATCAGCCATTTGCATCTGTAATAAATTAAGATAAGGTCTCTGCACCATCTATTTCAATGTGTGTGCATACATTCAATTCTTGTTGACTTATTGCTTGCTTCTTGTAGCATACTTTCTCTTACATGAAAATAAAAAGAACTCCATGCCTACAGCATTAAGTCAGTGGGAGATCTGTTCAGGAAAGTGAAAGAGTTTTAAAATGCACAATGCCCAGAATCGGGGTTAAATAAGATTGGGCCGTGTGCTGGGAGATGTTAGTGTTGTGACCCGAGGATTTGGGGCTCCAGAGAAATACGCAGGTCCAACTTCTAGCAGGCTAAAGAGTAACATTAGCATTGATCGTAGCAGTGGCTGCAAGCCTTCTGCCCTGCCTTGTAGCTAGAAATTAGGTCCTAGGTGGCAATACCAGGTATAAAGAAAAATAGAAATGAAGAAATAATACAGAATGCTGATTTAACCTATTGAACAACTAAAAATACATCAAAGGCTTGAGCATTTGTTTGGATGTGAAGCTTGAATAATTCTTAGAGCCTGCAAATATGTCCTTTAAAAAAAGTGTCATGGGAATAGGATTTCTTATGTGTTTTCTGGTGCTCAATTCATTGTTGTTCTCAAATATCACCAGAGTAGCTATCTTTAAGTGACTGGGTATTTCATTCTGTATAATAAAATAAGAAACTTAAGAAAGCCAAATTGGAAAAAAAAAAGTGAGAAATTTTAAAACTCTGCGGAGTTTCCATTAAGAACAATTTTGCATTTACAAGTTAAACTGTTCACAGGTTGAACAAATGCATCCCTTAAGATTCAAAATACTTCCCTTTATGTACTCTCCTTTCTTTTCTCATCTTTTTTCTTCTTCCTTCTCCCACCGTCTTTTAAATGAAAACATTATCATATAGTATTATTAGTAAATATTATCATATAGTATTATCAGTTTCTCTTTGCTCCAATACTCTGAGGTGGTACAGGATTTTTTCCTCTGGAATGTTTTTCTCTAGACCACTGAGGAGTATACAAAGCAAAGAGAGATACCTTTTATATGCTGTAAGTAAAGTAAATAAAGTACGTAGGGTCAAATAGAGATGCTTGCAAGACTCTTACCAAAGACTCCAAAACACTGGATTCAAACTCCCGGTTCATGACTTACTATGTGTGTGAGCTTGAATAGGTCAGTTTCTCTTCATTGCTCAGTTCTCTCATTTGTAGAAATGTAGTAATAATAATGTCACAAATTGTGTTTTTTAACAGGGGTTAAAATGTTTAAACTATCTTTGTAAGTATGTATAAAATTTGAGTGCTATAAAAGTGGCAACCACAATTTGATTATATTAATTATAATTAAAACCAGGAAAGCACTGTGAATGAGGCCAGACCTAAGTTAATACATATCAGTGGTGGAACGACAAGTTTAACACTCATTATCATCAAATATGCTGGGTGACAGTGCATATATAAGCAGATGCTACTCTGCACACATCTCAGTTAGCCTTTTGTACAATGCTCATATGTCAGATATTCTTCTAAATGCTCAATAAACAAGAGATATGGACACAGTCTAGCCCTCAATGAAGAATTCAATAGGTAATCTGACAGTTTAATGGACGAGTTCAATAGGTAACTTTATTAAGACTGTGCACTTTACTGATGCTATTAGGGATGCCTACATAGGAACAATGAGAACACCAAAGAGCAGCATCAAACCCAGTCTAGGGGAGGAAAAGGAAAATTATAGAGGTTCTTTGAAAGAGACAGCACCTTCCTTGCAAAAAGAATGGGCAGAGCAGTCAAGCAAAAGCCAAGAGACAGTGGGAGTGAAGGGAATAACCAGACATTTCCAGGTCTCAACACTGTTGGAAAGAAGAGAGGATAGGAAGAGCAAAGAGGTGGGCCTAGAAAGGTTAGCAGGAGTCAAATCACAAAGGGCAATTTATGTCATGTTAATACATTAAGATTTTATTCTTGGAAATGATAGAGAGTTGTTAAATAATTCTAAGCAGAGGAGAATCATAATAAGATTTGCTTTTTCAAAAGGTGTGGCAACACTGTGGAAAACCAGAGGAAGGTATATCAGAGATTTATTGCAATGATCAAAAAAAGTGATAGGAGAAACTAATTCAGGGCATATGGTATATGGGATAGAAAGAAATGAATAAATTGGAGAAAGATCTGCAAGCAAGGAGGCTGCAGATTTTGCAACAGATTCAACATGAGAGAAGGGCAAGAGAAAAGATTCAAGAATGATTCCCAGAGAGCTACGTAACTGACTTAATTGGTGGTGGCATCATCTGTGGGGCATGAAATGCAGGGAGAAGAACAGTACTGTTAGAGGGAGGGGCACTTTGCCTGGGGACTCTGGTGAAGAAAGGCAGAAGAAGATGAAGTACAGTTTAAAATATCATTAATTTGTGGTGGTCACCTGAGCACAAATATCTATTAGGTGAATCTGGAGCTCAGAAGGAAGATTTGAGTTGAAGATTCAGGGGACATCACAGTTAAAAATAGTAGAAGAAATTACAGTTATAGATAAGGCAGCAGAGTACAGTGAGAAGGGGAAAAGGTAATCAACATTAGATAGAGTAAATTATACCAAAGTAGAGGAAAAAAAGATGGGTAATATTAGCAAGATAATGTCTGAGACAATCTAAAGAAAATGTATGTATTACGGATTTCAGTCTTATCAGCTCAATGAAAATCTATACTGAGAAGTTTTTGCTGAATTATAGAGCCCTCAATAAAATTATACTACCAGGAACAAGAATAATAATCCAGAGCCCAGCATGATGTATAAAAAGAACACTAGAATGAAGGCCGCAGATAGCTACAAATTAGAATTATCTCTACCTCTAGCTATGTAATCTGGAACTACTTCAGTTATTCATCTTCAAAAAAAGGGAATTCAACTGAACAATCCAAGTTCCCTTCCTACTGCAATAATCCTGATTCTACAATGCCATGCTTTACTTTCGGAGTAATTCACAATCCCTTGCTGCATCAATTATATAGCCATTCAATGCTTCCTGCATTCAATCATTAAACAAATACTTATTCAGCACCAATTACATTCTAGGTATTCTTCAAAGTGCACAGAACAGAGCAATGAACAAAACAGTCAAAGTTTTTGTTACCAAGAACTAGTGAGATTGTTGTTGTTGTTGTTGATTTGTTTTTGTTTTTATGCAATCAAAGCTAAGTTCTTATGAACTTGAAATAGGATGCTATAAGTGTAAGATATTCTTCATAATCCTCATGGTAACCATAAGGTAAAAGTCCTTAGTGTAAACACAAAACAAAAATGGAAAAGATTCAAGGCATACCACTACAGAAAACCATAAGGCCACAAGGAAACACAGGAGAGGAAGAAAGAAAATATATACAAAACAATCAAAAAACAACTAACATGATGGAAATAGTAAGTCTTCACCTATCAATTATTACCTTGAATGTAAATGAATTAAATTCTCCAATAACGATACATAGAATGACTAAAAGAATTTTTATAAGACCTAAATGTATTCTGCCACCAAGAGAATAACCTCAGTCTTAAGAACACACATAGACCAAAAGTGATGGGAAGGAAAAAGCTATTCCATGTAAATGTAACCAAAGGAGAGCAGGTATAGCTAAAATTATATCACACAAAATAGAGTTTAAGTCAAAAACTATAAAAAGAAACAAAGGGGGGGTGGAGCCAAGATGGCCGAATAGGAATAGCTCCAGTCTACAGCTCCCAGCATGAGTGACGCAGAAGATGGGTGATTTCTGCATTTCCAACCGAGGTACCGGGTTCATCTCACTGGGGAGTGCTGGACAATGGGTGCAGGACACTGGGTGCAGCACACCACGTGTGAGCAGAAGCAGGGCGAGGCATCGCCTCACCCAGGAAGCGCAAGGGGTCAGGGAATTCCCTTTCCTAGTCAAAGAAAGGGGTGACAGATGGCACCTGGAAAATCGGGTCACTCCCACCCTAATACTGCACTTTTCCAATGGGCTCAACAAACGGCACACCAGGAGATTATATCCCGCACCTGGCTCAGAGGGTCCTACGCCCACGGAGCCTCGCTCATTGCGAGCACAAAAGTCTGAGATCAAACTGCAAGGTGGCAGTGAGGCTGGGGGACGGGCGCCCACCATTGCCGACGCTTGAGTAGGTAAACAAAGTGGCTGGAAAGCTTGAACTGGATGGATCCCACCACAGATCCAGGAGGCCTGCCTGCCTCTGTAGGCTCCACCTCTGGGGGCAGGGCACAGACAAACAAAAGGCAGCAGTAACCTCTGCAGACTTAAATGTCCCTGTCTGACAAATTTGAAGAGAATAGTGGTTCTCCCAGCATGCAGCTTGAGACCTGAGAATGCGCAGACTGCCTCCTCAAGTGGGTCCCTGACCCCCGAGTAGCCTAACTGGGAGGCACCCCCAAGTAGGGGCAGACTGACACCTCACACGGCCGGGTACTCCTCTGAGACAAAACTTTCAGAGGAATGATCAGGCAGCAGCATTTGCGGTTCACCAATATCCACTGTTCTGCAGCCACCGCCGCTGATACCCAGGCAAACAGTGTCTGGAGTGGACCTCCAGCAAACTCCAACAGACCTGCAGCTGAGTGTCCTGACTGTTAGAAGGAAAACTAACAAACAGAAAGGACATCCACACCAAAAACCCATCTGTACGTCACCATCATCAAACACCAAAGGTAGGTAAAACCACAAAGATGGGGAAAAAACAGAACAGAAAAACTGGAAACTCTAAAAAGCAGAGTGCCTCTCCTCCTCCAAAGGAATGCAGCTCCTCACCAGCAATGGAACAAAGCTGGACGGAGAATGACTTTGACGAGTTGAGAGAAGAAGGCTTCAGAAGATCAAACTACTCCGAGCTAAAGGAGGAAGTTTGAACCAATGGCAAAGCAGTTAAAAACCTTGAAAAACAATTAGACGAATGGCTAACTAGAATAACCAATGCAGAGAAGTCCTCAAAGGACCTGATGGAGCTGAAAACCAAGGCACGAGAACTACGTGACGAATGCACAAGCCTCAGTAGCTGATGCGATCAACTGGAAGAAAGGGTATCAGTGATAGAAGATGAAATGAATGAAATGAAGCGAGGAGAGAAGTTTAGAGAAAAAAGAATAAAAAGAAACGAACAAAGCCTCCAAGAAATATGGGACTATGTGAAAAGACCAAATCTATGTCTGATTGGTGTACCTGAAAGTGATGGGGAGAATGGAACCAAGTTGGAAAACACTTTGCAGGATATTATCCAGGAGAACTTCCCCAATCTAGCAAGGCAGGCCAACATTCAGATTCAGGAAATACAGAGAATGCCACAAAGATACTCCTCGAGAAGAGCAACTCCAAGACACATAATTGTCAGATTCACCAAAGTTGAAATGAAGGAAAAAATGTTAAGGGCAGCCAGAGAGAAAGGTCAGGTTACCCACAAAGGGAAGCCCATCAGACTAACAGCTGATCTCTCGGCAGAAACCCCACAAGCCAGAAGAGAGTGGGGACCAATATTCAACATTCTTAAAGGAAAGAATTTTCAACCCAGAATTTCATATCCAGCCAAACTAAGCTTCATAAGTGAAGGAGAAATAAAATATTTTACAGACAAGCAAATGCTGAGAGATTTTGTCACCACCAGGTCTGCCCTAAAAGAGCTCCTGAAGGAAGCACTAAACACGGAAAGGCACAACCGGTACCAGTCACTGCAAAAACATGCCAAATTGTAAAGACCATCGAGACTAGGAAGAAACTGCATCAACTAATGAGCAAAATCACCAGCTAACATCATAATGACAGGATCAAATTCAAACATAACAATATTAACCTTAAATGTAAATGGGCTAAATGCTCCAATTAAGAAACACAGACTGGCAAATTGGATAAAGAGTCAAGAACCCATCAGTGTGCTATATTCAGGAAACCCATCTCACGTGCAGAGACACACATAGGCTCAAAATAAGAGGGATGGAGGAAGATCTACCAAGCAAATGGAAAACAAAAAAAGGCAGGGGTTGCAATCCTGTCTCTGATAAAACAGACTTTAAACTAACAAAGATCAAAAGAGACAAAGAAGGCCATTACATAATGGTAAAGGGATCAATTCAACAAGAAGAGCTAACTATCCCAAATATATATGCACCCAATACAGGAACACCCAGATTCATAAAGCAAGTCCTTAGTGACCTACAAAGAGACTTAGACTCCCACACAATAATAATGGGAGAGTTTAACACCCCACTGTCAACATTAGACAGATCGACAAGACAGAAAGTTAACAAGGATATCCAGGAATTGAACTCAACTCTGCACCAAGTGGACCTAATAGACATCTACAGAACTCTCCACCCCAAATCAACAGAATATACATTCTTTTCAGCCCCACACCACACCTATTCCAAAATTGACCACATAGTTGGAAGGAAAGCACTCCTCAGCAAACGTAAAAGAACAGAAATTATAACAAATTGACTCTCGGACCACAGTGCAATCAAACTAGAATTCAGGATTAAGAATCTCACTCAAAACCGCTCAACTACATGGAAACTGAACAACCTGTTCCTGAATGACTACTGGGTACATAACGAAATGAAGCAGAAATAAAGATGTTCTTTGAAACCAACGAGAACAAAGACACAACACACCAGAATCTCTGGGACACATTCAAAGAAGTCTGTAGAGGGAAATTTATAGCACTAAATGCCCACAAGAGAAAGCAGGAAAGATCTAAAATTGACACCCTAACATCACAATTAAAAGATCTAGAGAAGCAAGAGCAAACACATTCAAAAGCTAGCAGAAAGCAAGAAATAACTAAGAGCAGAGCAGAACTCAAGGAAATAGAGACACAAAAAACCCTTCAAAAAATCAGTGAATCCAGGAGCTGGTATTTTAAAAAGATCAACAAAATTGATAGACTGCTAGCAAGACTAATAAAGAAGAAAAGAGAGAAGACTCAAATAGATGCAATAAAAAATGATAAAGGGGATATCACCACTGATCCCACAGAAATACAAATTACCTTCAGAGAATACTATAAACACCTCTACGCAAATAAACTAGAAAATCTAGAAGAAATGGATAAATTCCTTGACACGTACACTCTCCCAAGACTAAACCAGGAAGAAGTTGTTATTGGTCTCTGAATAGACCAATAACAGGTTCTGAAATTGAGGCAATAATTAATAGCCTACCAACCAAAAAAAGTCCAGGACCAGATGGATTCACAGCTGAATTCTACCAGAGGTACAAGGAGGAGCTGGTACCATTCCTTCTGAAACTATTCCAATCAATAGAAAAAGAGGGAATCCTCCCTAACTCATTTTATGAGGCCAGCATCATCCTGATACCAAAGCCTGGCAGAGACACAACAAAAAAAGAGAATTTTACACCAATATCCTTGATGAACATTGATGCAAAAATCCTCAATAAAATACTGGCAAACCGAATCCAGCAGCACATCAAAAAGCTTATCCACCATGATCAAGTGGGCTTCATCCCTGGGATGCAAGGCTGGTTCAACATACGAAAATCAATAAACATAATCCAGCATATAAACAGAACCAAAGACAAAAACCACATGATTATCTCAATAGATGCAGAAAAGGCCTTTGACAACATTCAACAGCCCTTAATGCTAAAAACTCTCAGTAAATTAGGTATTGATGGGATGTATCTCAAAATAATAAGAGCTATTTATGACAAACCCACAGCCAATATCATACTGAATGAGCAAAAACTGGAAGCATTCCCTTAGAAAACCGACACAAGACAGAGATGCCCTCTCTCACCACTCCTATTCAACATAGTGTTGGAAGTTCTGGCCAGAGCAATCAGGCAGGAGAAGGAAATAAAGGGCATTCAATTAGGAAAAGAAGTCAAATTGTCCCTGTTTGCAGATGACTTGATTGTATATCTAGAAAACCCCATCGTCTCAGCCCAAAATCTCCTTAAGCCGATAAGCAACTTCAGCAAAGTCTCAGGATACAAAATCAGTGTGCAAAAATCACAAGTATTCTTATACACCAATAACAGACAGACAGCCAAATCATGAGTGAACTCCCATTCACAATTGCTAAAAAGAGAATAAAATACCTAGGAATCCAACTTACAAGGGATGTGAAGGACCTCTTCAAGGAGAACTACAAACCACTGCTCAAGGAAATAAAAGAGAATACAAACAAATGGAAGAATATTCCATGCTCATGGGTAGGAAGAATCAATATCGTGAAAACGGCCATACTGCCCAACGTAATTTATAGATTCAATGCCATCTCCATCAAGCTACCAATGACTTTCTTCACAGAATTGGAAAAAACTACTTTAAAGTTCATATGGAACCAAAAAAGAGCCCGCACTACCAAGTCAATCCTAAGCCAAAGAACAAAGCTGGAGGCATCACGCTACCTGACTTCAAACTATACTACAAGGCTACAGTAACCAAAACAGCATGGTACTGGTACCAAAACAGAGATATAGACCAATGGAACAGAACAGAGCCCTCAGAAATAATGCCGCATATCTACAACTATCTGATATTTGACAAACCTGACAAAAACAAGCAATGGGGAAAGGATTCCCTATTTAATAAATGGTGCTAGGAAAACTGGCTAGCCATACGGAGAAAGCTGAAACTGGATCCCTTCCGTACACCTTATACAAAAATTAATTCAAGATGGATTAAAGACTTAAATGTTAGACCTAAAACCATAAAAACCCTAGAAGAAAACCTAGGCAATACCATTCAGGACATAGGCATGGGCAAGGACTTCATGTCTAAAACACCAAAATCAATGGCAACAAAAGCCAAAATTGACAAATGGGATCTAATTAAACTAAAGAGCTTCTGCACAGCAAAAGAAACTACCATCAGAGTGAATAGGCAACCTACAGAATGGGAGAAAATTTTTGCAATCTACTCATCTGACAAAGGGCTAATATCCAGAATCTACAATGAACTCAAACAAATTTACAAGAAAAAAACAAACAACCCCATCAAATAGTGGGCAAAGGATATGAACAGACACTTCTCAAAAGAATACATTCATTCAGCCAAAAAAACACATGAAAAAATGCTCATCATCACTGGCCATCAGAGAAATGCAAATAAAAACCACAATGAGATACCATCTCACACCAGTTAGAATGGCTATCATTAAAAAGTCAGGAAACAACAGGTGCTGGAGAGGATGTGGAGAAATAGGAACACTTTTACACTGTTGGTGGGACTGTAAACTAGTTCAACCATTGTGGAAGTCAGTGTGGGAATTCCTCAGGGATCTAGAACTAGAAATACCATTTGACCCAGCCATCCCATTACTGGGTATATACCCAAAGGACTATAAATCATGCTGCTATAAAGACACATGCACACGTATGTTTATTGCGGCACTATTCATAATAGCAGAGACTTGGAACCAACCCAAATGTCCAACAATGATAGACTGGATTAAGAAAATGTGGCACATATACACCATGGAATACTATGCAGCCATAAAAAAGGATGAGTTCATGTCCTTTGTAGGGACATGGATGAAGCTGGAAACCATCATTCTCAGCAAACTATCACAAGAACAAAAACCAAACACCACATATTCTCACTCATAGGTGGGAATTGAACAATGAGAACACATGGACACAGGAAGGGGAACATCACACACTGGAGACTGTTGTGGGGTGGGGGGAGGGGGGAGGGATAGCGTTAGGAGGTATACCTAATGCTAAATGACGAGTTAATGGGTGCAGCACACCAACATGGCACATGTATATATATGTAACAAACCTGCACGTTGTGCACATGTACCCTAAAACTTAGAGTATAATAATAATAAAATTTTTTAAAAAAGAAACTAAGAAGGGCATTATATAATGATAAGAGGGTAAATTCATCAACAAGACATAACAATTGTTAATACATATGCCCTCAAAATTGGAGTACCTAAATATATTTTTTAAATATTATGAAAGATTGTTTTCAAGAAGGCTGACTAGGGACATTGGAAGCCAGTTCTTCTCAGAAAGAAGATCAAGGTTACTAGTGATTGAACATGTTCTGAATGAAAAACTGAGGGAAGAAAGCCAGGAACTGTTGGAGTGCCCATGGGAAGAATCTGGAGTGCAGAAAGGGAAAGCAGCAAGAGTCTGGCAGAGATTGACACCTGAGGAACTCAGAGTCCAGTGGAAAGGACAGTTGGGAGAGCTCCTCTGTTCTGCTCACCCCTGCAACAATCTGCTGACCATCAAACTGTTGTGGATCCCCTTTACCCTCAAGACCCAGGGCAAACTATCAGTGGCAATTTGGGAACTTTCTAGGAACAGAGAACCAGGTGGCATGGCCAGCTCACATAGGCAAGCCCACACTCCTCTCAGAACTGACCTGAAACAATGGGTGCCACAGTGGTTGGGTACCTATGGTGGGCCACTGGCCTGCCTGGGGAATCTCTGCCCTCAGTCACATCACCAGATCTCCCACAAACATACTCCCCAAGCTGCTCTAACTTGTGGAAGCACAGAGGACAAGTATATCCTCAGGGAGCTGCAGGACTGCTGGAAATACAGCAATTGGTGTGGGCCACTGCTAAGGAAGGGAAGAGTGTGCCCACCAAATCCTCCCTTGGAACAAAGGAATGTGGGGTGTGTGCAGTGCCAATAGCTGAAGGGGGAAGCACCAACAGCTGGGAATGAAAATGGAGAGGGGAATCATCTCCCACCCATTCCTCTGTCCACCATTGCAGATGCAGCAATGCTTCTCCCCACTGGGGGCCAGTGCATTTGCCCCTGAAGAAAGTGTTTTTCATGATTTTGTGGTAGCTCCACCCCGGCTGTAAGTGAGACTGTGCTGCTTGGGCTTGCACAAAAGGTGGGGCCCAACTCCCTGTCCCTAAACAGAGCAGCAGCATCTCAGAAACAGGGAACAGTCAAACTGCAGAGTTGTATTCTCTGGACTGGGGGAAGAGGCTCTGTCTCAAGTCTATTTTGGTAGTAGCAGCCAGAAGGTAGTATCCATAGTTCACAGCAGCACTGCAGCCAGAAACCAAATGACAAAGTCTATATGAACTGAAGGACATGAGCCCTGTGATGGGGGAATGTTAGGGAAATGGATCACATTCCTACCTGCTCAGGATGAGGAGCTAGTGCCCCGGGCCCTGCCCCTTTACCTGAAACCTCAGTGCACTGCAACACAATCTCCCCCCATTGGACTGGAGCCTGAACTGCACTACCAAATAAAAAACATGCTGTGAGAAGGGCTCAGTGCTAGTGCATAGAATAAGCTTCCTGAGACCTATGCACCCTCAGCCATGCAGGAGGTAGTGTGTCAGTTCATATATCCATTACATTGCTACAACAAGTAGCGTCTGAGAAAGAAACTGCACAGAAGCTATCAACAACCAAAAAACCTACACAGAACCTTGGCCTCCAGAAAGCATCCAGAAATGAAGATGAACAGTCCTACACAACATATACCACAGTCATACCTTCGAGGGAAAAAAATTTTAAGTATCATTCAAGTGACAACAAATTAAAAGATAAGCCCCTCAGATGAGAAGTAATCAGCGCAAGAACTACAGCAGTACAAAAAGCCAGAGGTCTTGGCCCCTCCAAAGGATTGCACTCATTTTCCAGCAATGGATCCTAACCAAAATGAAAAGTCTGAAATGACAGTTTAAGGATTCAAAATATGGATTGCAAGGAAACTCAGATCAAGAGAAAGTTGAAGTTCAACACAAAGAAACCAGAAAAACAATTCAGAATATAAAAGACAAGATAACTGTATTTTTAAAAAATAGAACTTCTGGAATTGAAAATTTTACTAAAGGAATTTCAAAATACCATCAGAAACTTTAACGATTCACTGAACCAAGCAGAAGAAAGAATTTTAGAGCTTGAAGACAAGTCCTTCGAATTAACCTAGTCAGACAAAAATAAAGAAAAAATAACTTTAAAAATGAACAAAGCTTTTAAGAAATACGGAATTATGTACAGCAACCAAACCTGTGATTTATTGGCATTCTAAGGAGAGAAAAAAAAGTAAGCAACTTAGAGAAAATATTTAAGAAAATAATTCAGAAAAATTTCCCCAATCTTTCTAGAGAGGTTGACATCCAGATATATGAAATTCAGAGAACACCTGTAAGATACTATACAAGACTACCATCACTAAGATATATAGTCATCAGACTATCCAAGGTCAATGCAAAATAAAAAATCTTAAAGGCAGCTAGAGAAAGGAGCAAAATTATGTATAAAGGAAATACCATCAGAATAACAGCAGACTCCTCTGTGGAAACCTTAAAAATCAGAAGAGATTAGGGGCCTATTTTTAGCCTCCTTTAAAAAAAAACAATGCCAACCAAGAATTTTTTGTCCTGTCAAACTAAACTTCACAAAGGAAGGAGAAATAAGGCATTTCCCAAACAAGCAAATGCTAAGGGAATTTGTCACTACCAGACTAGCCCTACAAGAAACGTTCAAAAGAGTTATAAACATGGAAATTAAAGGACGAAACTTGCTACCATAAAAACAAACATAATTACAAAGTTCACATGTCCTTTAAATCAATCACACAATTGAGACTACAAAGCAAATAGCTAACAATACTATGTCAGGAAGAAAATCTCACATATCAAAATTAGCCTTGACTGTAAAGGACCTAAAGGCTCCATTTAAAAGACATAGAGTGGCAAATTGGATTCTAAAACACAAAAAAAAACAAAAAGACAACCATCTGCTGCCTTCAACACACCCATCTCACATATAATGTCACCCACAGGTTCAAAGTAATGGGATGGAGAAAGCTCTATCATGAAAATGAAAAACAAAAAAAAAAAACAGCAAGTGTTTCTATTTTTGTATCTTGTATTAAACAGACTTTAACAGTAAAATAAAATACAAAGAAGGACATTATATAATGATAAAAAGTTCAATTCAACAAAAAGATTAAACTATCCTAAATACATATTCACTGAACATCAGAGCACCTAGATTTATAAAATAAATACTACTAGACCTATGAAAAGAGATAGACAGCCATACAATAATAGTGAGGGACTTCAACACCTCACTGACAGCACTAGATAGGTTACTGAGGCAGAAAACTAGCAAAGAAACTCTGTACTTAAACTGGACTCTTAATTAAGTGGACCTAATAGATGTCTCCAGAATACTCCACCCAACAACCACAGAATACACATTTTTCTCATCTGCACATGGAATATTCTCTCAAGTTGACCACAAGCTTGGTCATAAAGCAAGTCTCAATAAATTTTTAAAAATTAAAATAATATCAAGCATCTTCTTGGACAGTAGTAGAATAAAATTAGAAATAAATACCAAGATGAACTCTTAAAACCACATACATACATGTGAATGAAATAACTTGCTCCTGAATGACTTTTGGATGAATAATGAAATTAATGCAAAAATAAAAAAAAAAATTTACAAACAAATGGAAATAAAGATGCAACATATCAAAACCCCTTGGATATAGCAAAAGCAGTGTTAAGAGGAAAGTTTATAATGCTAAATGCCCACATCAAAACGATAGAAAGATCTCAAATTAACAACCTAACATCATACCTAAAGGAGCTAGAAAAACAAAAACAAACTAAACCAAAGCTAGCAGAAGAAAAGAAATAACAAAAACCAGAGAAGAACTAAATAAAATTGAAACCAAAATCATTATACAAAAAAATCAACAGAAGAAAACGTTGGTTTTTTGAAAGAATAAACAAAATTCATAGTTGGCTAGCTAGATTAATCAATAAAAAAGAGAGATTAAATAAGCACAACCAGAAACAACAAAGGTGACATTATGACTGATACCACAGAATTTTTTTTAAAAGATCCTCAGAGACTACTATGAACATCTCCTCCATGCACAAAAACTAGAAAACCTAGAGGAAATGGATACATTCCAAGAAACACACAACCTTCCAAGATTGAATAGAAAGAAATTGAAATCCGGAATAGACCAATAAAAAGTTACAAATTGAATTAGTACCAAAAAATCTACCAACAAAAAAGAAAGTCCAGGACCAGACAAATTCACAAATTCTACCAGACATACGAAGAATAGCTACTACCAATCTTACTGAAACTATTCCAAAAAATTGAGGAGGAAGGATTCTCTCAAACTTATGTTGCAAAACCAGCATCATCCTGATACCAAAATCTGGCAAGGACACAACAACAACAAAAAAGAAAACTGCAGGCCAATATCTTCAATGAACACAGATGCAAAATCCTCAATAAAATGCTAGCAAACAGAATCCAGCAGCATGTCAAAAAGATAATTCATGATTAAGCAGTTTTGTTCCTGGGATGCAAAGATGGTTCAACATACATAAATCAGTAAATGTGATTCACTACATAAACAAAATTAAAACCAAAAGGCACATGAGCATATCAATAGACACAGAAAAAGCACTTGATAAACCCAACATCTTTTCATGACAAAAATCTTCAACAAACTAGGCATTGAAGGAACATACCTCAAAATAATAAGACCCACAAATGACAAACCCCTAGGGAACATCAGACTGAATTGGGAAAACTTGAAAGCATTTCCCCAAAGAACTGGAAGAAGACAGAATGTCCACTCTCACCACTTCTATTCAACATAGTACTGGAAGCCATAGCAAGGGTACTTGTGCAAAATGAATAAATAAAAGACATCCAAAAAGGAATAGACACAGTCAGCTTAACTGTGTTTGCTGATGACATGACGCTAAACCCTACAACACCCTAAAAATTCCTTCAAAAGACACCTAGTCCTGATAAATGACTTTGGTAAAGTTTTAGGATACAAAATTAATGCATGAAAATAAGTAGCATTTCTATTCAACAACAATGGTGAAGCTAAGAACTAAACCAAGAACTCAATCAAATTTATAATTGCCACAAAAAAATACAATATCTTGGAATACATTTAACCAGGGAGGCAAAAGACCTCTACAAGGAGAACTAAAAAACACTTATGAAATTAATCACAGATGACACAAACGAATGGAAAAACATCGCATGTTTGTGGATAGGAGGAATCATTAATGTTAAAATGACTATAATGACCAAAACAATCTACAGGTTCAATGCAATTTCTAACAAATTACTAATGTTATTTTTCACAGAATTAAAAAAAACAATTTTAAAATTCACATGAAACCAGAAGAACCTGAATAGCCAAGGCAATCCTAAGCAAAAAGAAAAAAGCCAGAAGCATTACATTACCAGACTTCCGTCTATACTACAAGGCTATAGTATACAAACAACATGGTACCGGTACAAAAATAGACATATAGAGCAATGGAACAGCATAGAGAACCAAGAAATAAAGCCACACACCTATCACCAACTGGTCTTCAACAAAGTTGACAAAAATTTCCAATAGGGAAATGACACCCTATTTAATAAACAGTGCCGGGAAAACTGGCTAGCCATATGCAGAAGAATGAAACTAGACCCCTACCTCTCACTATACACAAAAATTAACTCAAGATGGATTAAAAACTTAAATGTAAGACCTGAAACTATAAAAATCTTAGAAGAAAATCTAGAAAAACTTCTTCTGGACTTTGGCCTAGGCAAAGAATTTATGACCAAAATCTAGAAAAAGAAATACACCAAAAACAAAAATTGACAAATAGGACTTAATTTAACCAAAAAGTTTCTGCACAACAAAGAAACAATCAACAGAGTAAAAAGACAACCTACAGAGTCTGAGAAAATATTTGCAAACTATGCCTCCAACAAAGGATTAAAATCCAGAATCTATAATGAGATTAAACAAATCAACAAGATCAAAACAAATAACACCAATTAAAAGTGGGCAAAGGACATGAACAGACACTTCTCAAAAGACGACCACGCAAGCAGCCAACAAATATGTGAGAAAATCGTCAACATGACTAATCATCGGAGAAATGTAAATCAAAACCACAATGAGATACCATCTCATAACAGTCAGGATGGCTATTACTACAAATTCAAAAAACAACAGTTGTTGGTGAGAATATGGAGAAAAGGGAATGCTTATACACTCTTGGTGGGAATGTAGGTTAGTTCAACCCCTGTGAAAAACAGTATGGAGATTTCTGAAAGAAATAAAATATATCCAGCAATCTGAGTACTTGGTACCTACCTAAAGGAAAAGAAATTGCTATATAAAAAAGACACTTACACTCATATTTTTATCACAGCACAGGACTATTAACAATAGCAAAGTCATGGAATCAACCTAAGTGTTCACCAACAGTGACTTGGATGAAGAAAATGTGATATATATATATATATATATATCTCCACTGGTCTAAAAATGTGATTTTATATATATATATGTATATATACACGTATATACGTGTATATATACACACACACATAAATGTGATATATATATCACATTTATATATTATATGTATATATTATATATAAATATTGTATTATATATTATATATCACATTTATATATTATATTTATATATACATATTATATTATATATAAATATATATAATATATAAATGATATATATATATCACATTTTCTTTATCCAAGCCACTGTTGATGAACACTTAGGTTATATATATATGGATATATATATCCATATATATAAAAAATATATGTATAAAGTATATTTTTTGTATATATGTATATATATCCATATATATAGATATATATCTCCCCCACATGGAATACTACACAGCCAAAAAAAAAGAATGAAATCATATCCTTCCCCAAAACACGGATGTAGCTGGAGGCCATCCTCCTAAGTGAAATAACTCAAACAGAAAACCAGTAAGTGAGCATATTCTCATTTATAAGTGGGAGCTAACCAATGGATATGTATGTACACTAAGGTGGAAACAATAAACACTGGGGATTCCAAAAGTGGGGAAGGTGGGATGGGACAAGGGTTGTAAAACCATCCATTGGGTTCTGTGTTACTATTTGGGTGATGAGTTCACTTGAAGACCAAACCCAAGCATTATATAATATGTCCATGTAACAAACCTGCACCTATACTTTCTGAATCTATAATAAGAAGAAAGTAAAATAAACAAATATTACAGGATCCAAAGGGAGAGATAGATTGCAATACAGTGAAGTAATGAACTCCAATATCCCACTTTTAACAAAGGACAGGTCATCCAGATAAAAAAGTAATAAGAAAACATGGGACTTGAACAACACTTTAGACCAGTGGACCTAAGAGACACATACGAAACATTCTATCCAACAGCAACAAAATAAACATTTTTTCAGGTACACACAGAACATTCTCCAGAATAAACCATATGCTGGGGCATAAAACAAGTCTAAGTAAATTTAAGATAGAAATTATAACAAGTATCTTTTCTGACCACAATGCTGTGAAACTAAAAATCAATAACAATAGGTTTTGGAAAATTCACAAATACATGGAAATTAACCAACATGGTAATTAATAACCAACCAACGGGTCAATGATAAAATTAAAAGGGACATTTTAAAATCTTCCAACAAGTGAAAATGGTAACACAATTATCAAAACTTATGGGATACAGCATAAGTGGTTCTAAGAGGTAAGTTTATAGCAGTAAATGCCTATATTGAAAAAGAAAAATCTCACATAAACAACTTATGTTACACCGGAAGGAACTAGATAAACAAAAAATAGTAAGCCCAAAGTTAGTAGAAGGAAGTAAATAATAAAGATCAAGCAGAAACAAATGAAATAGAGACTAGAAAAACAACACAAAAGATCAACAAAACTAAGAGCTGATTTTTCTTTTTTTTTTTTTTTCTTTTTTGAGATGGAGTTTCACTCTTCTTGCCCAGGCTGGATTGCAATGGCGAGATCTCAGCTCACCGCAGCCTCCACCTTCCAGGTTCAAGTGATTCTCCTACCTCAGCCTCTCAAGTAGCTGGGATTACAGGCATGCGCCACCATGGCTGGTTAATTTTGTATTTTTAGTAGAGATGGGGTTTCTCCATGTTGGTCAGGCTGGTCTCGAACTCCTGACCTCAGGTGATCCACCTGCCTTGGCCTCCCAAAGTGCTGGGATTACAGGTGTGAGCCACCATCCCCAGCCGAGCTGATTTTTTTAAGAGAAACAGAATCAACAAACTTTTAACTAGACTAAGGAAAAAAAAAAGATTCAAAAAAATAAACTCTGAGATGAAAGAAGAGACATTACAAATGATGCCACAAAAATATAAAGAATCATAAGAGACTACTATGAACAATTATGCACCAAAAATTGATAAACTAGAAGAAATGGGTAAATTCCCAGACACATAAAACCTACCAAGACTGAATCATGAAGAAACAGAAAATCTGAACACACCAATAATGGATAAAGAGATTGAATACATAATAAAAAGTCTCTCATCAAAGATCAGGACCTGATGACATTACTGCTAAATTCTACCAAACATTCAAAGAAGAATTAACATCAATCCTTCTCAAACTATTTCAAAAAAATTGAAGAGGAAGGAATACTTCCAAACTCTTTTTATGAGGCCAGTATTGCCCTTATACCAAAGTCAGATAAGAACATTACAAGAAAATTACAGGCCAATATATTTGATGGACATAAATGCAAAACTCCTCAAAAACTAGAAAGCCAAATTTACTAACACATTAAAAGGATCAGCCATCACAGTCAAGTGGGATTTATTCCTGGGATGCAAGTGTGATTTAACATACACAAATAAATGAATGTGATATATCACACTAACAAAATGAAGGACAAAAACCATATGATCATCTCATTGGGTGCAGAAAAAGCATTTGACAAAACTAACATTCTTTCATGACAGAAACTCTCACAAAATTGGGTATAGAAGGAATGCACCTTAACATAATAAAGGTCACATATGGCCCACAGGTAACACTATACTGAACAGTGAAGAGAAAAATCTAATGCCTTTCCTCTAAGATCTGGAACAAGACAAGGATGCCTACTCTTCACCAATTCTATTCAACATAACATTGGAAATTCTTGCCAGAGCAATTAGGCAAGAAAAAGAAATAAAAGGCATCCAAATATGAAAAGAAGAAGTTAATTTGTCACTGTTTTTTAGTCACATAATCTTTACGTTAAGAACCCTACAGAATCCACTAAAAAACTTTTAGAACTACTTTAAAAATCCAGTAAAGTTACAGGATACAAAGGCAACACACAAAAATTAGTCACGTTTCTATACACTAACAAAGAATTACCCAAAAAAGAAATCAAGAGAACAAATCATTCACATAGCAACAAACAAATAAATAAAATACTTAAGAATAAATTTAATCAAGGAGGTGAAAGACTTCTACCCTAAAAACTGTAAAAAATTGATGAAAGAAATTGAAAGAAACAAATAAATGGAAAAATATCTGTGTTTATGGATTAGAAGAACTATTACCATTAAAATGCCCTACTACCCAAAGCTATCTACAGATTCAATGTAATCTCTATCAAAATTCCAATGTCATTTTTCACAGAATTAGAAAAGGCAATCCTAAAATTCATATGAAACAACCAAAAAAAGCATATAGGCAAGGCAATCATGAACAGAAAGAACAAAGGTATAATACACAATTTCAAAATATATCTGGTCGACAGATATATGAAAAAATGCTTAACATTGCTAATCATTAGGAAAACACAAATTAAAATTACAACAGGATTATTCTACAAAGCTATAGTACTAATATCTACACTACAAAGCTATAGTAATTAAAATATGGTACTGGCACACACAAAAAATAGATACATCAACCAACAGAATAGAATAGAGAGACCAGAAATAAAGCCACGTATGTACCATTAATTGATTTTCAGCAAAGTGACAAAAATACACAATGGGAAAAAGGATAGTCTGCTTAACAAATGGTATTGGGAAAACTGGATATCCATATGCAAAAGAATGAAATTGGGCTTTTATCTCACATCCTATACAAAAATTTAACTCAAAATTGATTAGAATTAAATGAATGACCAAAAACTATAAAACTACTACAGGTTGAGCATCCCTAATCTGAAAATCCAAAACTTGGAAATTTTTTGAGTGCTGACATGACACAGTGCAAAATTCCACAAATGCCTACTTAACATAAACTTTGTTTTATGTCCAAAATTATTTAAAATATTGTATAAAATTACCTTCAGGCTGTGTATACGAAATATACAAAACATAAACAAATTACATGTTTAGACTTGAGTTCCATTCTCAAGATATTTCATTATGTATATGAAATATCCAAAATCTAAAAAACAATCCCAAATCTGAAACACCTCTGGTCCCAAGCATTTTGGATAATGGGTACTCAACCTATAGGAGAAAATGAGAAAAAAGCACATGACATTGGTCTAAACAATGATTTTGTGGATTTGATCTGAAAAGCTCAGGCAACAAAAGCAAAATTGGACAAATAGAATTACATCAAACTAAAAAGCTTCTGTACAGAAAAGGAAAAACAGTGTGCAGAGACAACCTACAGATGGGAGGGAAATATTTGCAAGTCATACATTCACTAAAGGGTTAATATCCAAAAAATACAAGTTCAAACAACTGAATAGCAAGAAAACAAAACACCCAATTTTAAAATGAATAAGGAATACACAGAAAGAGGATATTGAATATTCCCAGTGCAAAGATATGATAAATGTTTGAGATGATGGATATGCCAATTACCCTGATCTGATTACTATGCACTGTATCAAAACATCACTATGTACCCCATAAATATGTACAATTATTATGTCAATTAAAAACATTTTAAATGGGCAAGGAACCTGAATAAACTCTCAGAAGACATTCAAATGGCCAACAGATATATGAAAATATGCTCGACATTGCTAATCATTAGGAAAATACAAATTAAAACTACAAAAAGATCATATCTCACATCTGTCAGAAAGGCTATTATCAAAAAGATGAAACATAACAATGTTAGCAAAGTTGTAGAGAAAAGGGAATCCTTGCACACAGTTGGTAAGAATGTAAATTAGCCATTATGGGAAACTATGGAGATTCCTCAGAAAACTAAAAATACAATTATTTTATATGATCCAGAAGTTACGCTTCTGAGTATTTACCCAAAAGATTTGAAATCAGTTGTCAAAGAGATGTCTGCACTCATGTACCTTGCTGCATTACGCACAATAGCCAAGTTATGAAATCAACTTAAGTGTCCATCAACATATAAATAGATTTAAAATGTGGTATATCTACACAATAAAAATACTATTCAGCCTTTAAAAAGAAGGATAGTCTGTCATTTACAACAGGTGTGGAATTGGAGAACATTATGGCTAAGTGAAATAAGCCAGTCAGAGAAAGACAAACTTCCCATATTCTCACCAATATGTGGAATCTAAAACAATCAAACTCATAGAAGCAGAGAGTAGAATACTGATTACAGAGACTGGGGAGAGGGGGGAATGGGGAGATGATGGTGAGAGGGTATAAAATCTCAGACATAAGGAATATGGCTTTATTAGATCTATAGCACACTGTGGTAAATACAGTTAATAACAGCGTACATTTCAAAAATTGCTAAGAGAGTAAATTTTAAACATTCTCACCACAAAAACATGTTAAGTATTTGAGGTGATGGAAATGTTAACTAGCTTTATTTAATTATTCCACATTGGCTGGGCAAGGTGTCTCACACCTATAATCCCAGCACTTCGAGAGGTTGAGGCGAGAAGATCACTTAAGCCTAGGAGCTGAGACCAATCTGGGAAAATATAGCAAGACTACATCCCTACCAAAAAAAAATTTTTTTTCATTAGCTGGGCCAAGTGGCATGCACCTGTAGTCCCAGCTACTCAGGAGGCTCAGGATGGAGGATCCACTTGATCCCAGGAGTCTGAGGCTGCAGTGAGCCATAGTTGCACCACTGCACTCCAGCCTGGGTGAGAGTGAGATCCTGTCTCTAAAAAAATTATTATTATTATTCCACCTTGTCTTCATAAATCATAACATTACTTTCTACCTCATACATATATATGTATAAATCATCCATTTACAGTTAAAGAATTAAAATTTTAAAAACTAGTAAAGTTTCGAAGAAATTAAAAATATATATGCTAGGTGAGGAAAATGGCTTAGAAGAAAAGCTAAGTAGGGGTTTGTGAAAAGGGGCCAGATGTTATATAGATTTGGCTGGGAAAACTTTCTGATAATAATATGTTTAAATGAGGAGCTAAAGTAAAGGAGAAAGTACGTCATACTTTTGTGGGAAAAGACAATTTCAGGCAGAGAAGAAAGTCCCTGCTGCAGATGCTTGCTTGGCATCCTCAAAGAGTCCCAAGAGATCCATGTGGCTGGAGCAGAATGAGAACATGGGAGACAAGGTTGGAAAAATAGTGAGGGGCCAGGGATTTTATTCTGATTAAGATGGGAAACATTTAAGCATTATGAACAGAAGAGTGATATAATCTAACATCTTTTTTAAAGGTTCTCTCTTGCAGCTGTTTGAAAAATAGACTTGTTAAGATGAGCAGCAAGACTAGTTAGAAGGCTATTGCAATGGTTCAGGTTTGAGGTAATGGTATCTTGAACTAGAATAGTAGTGGTTCAGATGTGGTGAGATACTGCAACTGTAGACTAAACAGATTTGGTGGTGGACAGGACAAGTGGCATGACACAAAGCAATAAAGGGTGCACTAAGATTTTGGAATGAGCTACTGGAATGATGGAAGTACCACTGACTGAGGTGTGGCTGACTATGGGAGGAACAGTTTTGGGGCTGCAAAAGAGTCAAGAGTTCCACTGTTAAGATTGAAATATCAGTCAGAAACTCCCTTGGAAGTTTCAAATAGGTAGTTACGTATGCAATTCTTGACTGGAAATATACGTAGAGAAGCTGTTATGAACTGAATGTTTGTGTGCCACTGAAGAAGAGACCAGAGCTCTCTCCCTCTCTCTCTCTTCACCACGTGAGGAGACAGTTGGAAGGCAGATGTCCTACAAGCCAGGGAGAGATCTCTCATCAGGAAGCAAATCTGTGGCTCCTTGATCTTAGATTTTCCAGTCTCCATAAACAAGAATTAAATGTGTGTTGTTTATTTTTGTATTTTGTTAGAGTCAGCCCAAGCTAAGATGGAAGACAAGAGCCTGAATAGGACACCTAGAGAGTGAGTTTTGCTAAAAAAGACAATAGCCCAAGGACACAGCCTGAAGCACTCTCACTAACTGAAGTTGGAAAGAGGATAACCCAGCACAGAACACTGAGTAGGAGCAGCCAGTCAGGGCAAAGGAGAACAAGAGAAAGCTGAATTTCAGAAACCTAGATATGAGATGGTTTTAAGGAGGAAGGACAATCAAGTGTAAAAAGTGCAGCTGGTAGATTGAGCATAATGAGGATGCTATTCAGCTGATAGGAGTAACCTTACAAGAGCTCTTTCAGTGGTGAAAATGAGACAGAAATATGTTCTAAGTAGGAGAGAAATGAAATGGAGCTAGCAAGAAGAGACAATAATTTCTAAGAGTAAGGGTTTTGTTATAATGGAGACATATAAATGATGCAATGGTTAGAGTAGAATGTGGAGAAAAGGGTTTTCCCTAATGGAAGATATTACAACATATTTATTTGTATGCTATTGATAAATGTTCACTATAGAGATGAATATTGATGATGCAGAGATAGACCATTTTGGATTGACATCTTTAACAGAAAGGGATAAGATCCAGTGCACTAGAAAGGGTGAGGCCTTAGATAGTCCATCCATTGCAAGAGAAGGGAATGCTCATTATACGGACATAGATAATTTGGTGTGTTTTGTCAGGTTGCATGTGGAAATTCTCTTCCATTACTTCCATTTACTCAGTGAAATAAAAAGCAAGGTCATCACCTGAGAATAAAAGATAGTGGGAGTATTAGAGGTTTTAAAAAAAAAAGAAAGCATAAAATCTTTTACTCAGTGAATTGCCAGGGAAAGGTAATAGGTTTTGGGGGGCAGCAGTTAAAGCCATCTCTGAGATTTGTGGTCATAAATTTAACATTAAGCCAATAATTACGGTTGTATTTTTTTTGCTACCTCTGTTTAGCTGATTAGATGCAGTCATGGAGTATGGTAAGATTAGCCCACATGTTCAGCACCCACTATATAAAAGGCTTGAGATTAAAGATAAAAGTGAGGAGGACTCTATCAAATTCACAATATTATGGAAATTGGAAAACAAGCAAAAAATTAAAAGACAGCACAAAATAGCAATAGTCAGAGAACACACAGAGTGAGAAGGTGATACTATTCATGGTAGTGAAGGATCAGAGAAGGTAGCCTGGAAAAGGTTACCATAATCTCTCTCTCTAACTCATGCAACAGATGATTTCACACCTGTGATGGTTAATTTTATGTGTCAACTTGACTGGGCTAAGGAATATCCAGAGAGATGCTAAAACATTACTTCTGGTGTGTATTTGAGCATATTTCCAGAGCAGATTAGCATTTTAATCAGCAAACTGAGTAAAGATCTGCTTTCACCAATGTGGGCAAGCATCATCCAATCTGTTGAGGGCCTGGATAAAACAAAAAGACAGAGGAAGGGTTTATTCACTCCCTCTGTTCTTGGGCTGGGACAGACATCCATCTTCCCTCAGTCTTGGACATCAGAGCTCCTGGTTCTTGGGACTTCAGACCTTGGGATTTACATTAGCACCCTCCTGCTCTTCTCCCCTCCAAGTTCTCAGTTCTTCAGCCTCAGGCTGAGAGTTCTACCATTGGCTCTCCTAGTTATCAGGCCTCAGACTCTAACCAAATCACACTATCAGCTTTTCTGGGTCTCCAGTTTACAGACGGCATATCATGAGACTTCTTGACCTTCATAATTGCATTAGCCAATTCCCATAATTCTCCTCTTAGATACAACCTTATATCCTATTGGTATCCTGACAGATACAACACCACTGCAGGATTCAAATGTAACCGAGAGACAGTTTTGTAATGGAAGAGACCTGTCACAATGGCTATGATCCCAATTCAATCCAAAAGCATTGCCAGTGGAGTGAATTCCTCTGTCTCTCAGTGCAGACCAAGTCCTTGCCAACAGCTTAAGAGAAAAAAAAAGTGAAGAACAAGAATCTGCTACTGTTTCTTCATTTATAAGGATTGTCTCCCAGATAGGAGAAATATCAAGTCTGCTATTTTCTAGATGCTATATATCTTGTTTAGGTATAAATAAATAAATAAAGTATCTTTTTTCTTTGTTCCCTCTTTCAACTCTACCCAGGTTTCCACTAAGAATCTCCATTGAGGTGATCAATATCCACCCCACACATTCCACATTGCTCCCCACTGTACTCAGAGTGGACGTGCACATCCCCGATGCAAATTGCCACATCATTATAATGGAAGGAGTGTTTCAAAGTTCCGTACTTCCTCATTTTGAAAACCTTAATGTGAATTGGTTTCCTTCCAAGTAAGTGCAATTAATATGTTTTGGTGACTCAGATGTTTTAAAGAACAAGAATATTTGCTTCCCATTATATATTATTGGCAATAGTTGATGTCCAATCACTTGTTTTTTTTTAATTGCTCTCATACTCTTAGATCTGTTTTTATTGCAATTTTTTTCAAATGTTGAAAACGATTGCTAAAATATTATTTAAACTTGAGTGTACACGCTTATGTTGGCTTTATTCGTCATCATCATGAGCCACTCAGAAATAACAACTGAGATGTATATTGAAAGATGAATAAAGATATTCTGACAGAAAATTGAGAATAAAATTTCAGACCACAGGGGCAGCATGTAAAGATGCAATAGAGTAGGGAATGAAGCCAATGCCACATGCAGACTCCATTTTCCTCAAGATACTTGGAGCAAGAAAGAAGAGCTCTGGCCCCAGCTCCAGAGGGGAGGAGTGGATTCTGACTAGCTTAATCCATTCACCGTGATTCCATTTTCCTTGCCAGCAATCAGTTAGACACGAACATGTGAAGCAATCTTAGCCAATGGAGTGACACACGAGAAGTCTGGAGGGGAAGCTGGCAAAGAAAAGAGGCATACAAAGAGACCTAGTGAAAAGCTGTCTCTCTTCTTCTACTGGACGTTGTCTTGTTTCTATATTCCAGTGGAACTGTCTCAGCTATCTTGAAAACAGGAGCACTAGTCAAAACCTAGTCACTATGCTGAGGACAGCGAGTGAAAATTTGACAAGAATGGGAGTTCCAATTATGTCATCACTGAGTGGCAGAATCAACCAACCCAGAAGCTGCTCTCTCAGGACTTTTTTTTTTTCCTATAATCTATCAAATATAATTTTTGGAAGGAAGCAAAGAAGGGAGAAGAAAAGGGGGTGGAAGGGGTGAGGAGACAAAACTAAATTAACCATAGAATTTTAAAACTTTAAAAAATATTTTTAAGTGATAGTTTAGGTACCAATTGGAACAATTCCTAATTAGTGAAGTTTTCTTTCTCAGATTACAGACACAAGAATGCCATGAAAAACAAAACTTTTTTAAATTTATGTATTTATTTTTGAGACAGAGTTTCACTCTTGTTGCCCAGGCTGGAGTGCAATGGCGAGATCTCGGCTCACTGCAACCTCCGCCTCCAGAGTTCAAGCAATTCTCCTGTCTCAGCCTCCTGAGTAGCTGGGATTACACGTGCCTGCCACTACGCCAGACTAATTTTTGGTTTTTTTTTTAGTAGAGATGGGTTTCACTATGTTGGCAAGGCTGGTGTCGAACTCCTGACCTCAGGTGATCTGCCCGCCTCGGCCTCCCAAAGTGCTGGGATTACAGGCGTGAGCCACCGTGCCTGGCCGAAAAACAAAATTTTAAACCTTGTATTTGATAGCTAAGAATGCTGAGGTCCAGACGGGATAAATGCTCACCCAAGCTCACAGTGCTAATTGCAGCACAGTTAAGATCCCAACTTAAGGCTCTCAATTTCAAGTCCTATGCTTAAAAGTGCCACTGTAACTGTTTTAACATCTGCAAATAAAGTTGCTGCCGTTTCCTCCAAATACTTCAAAGGTTTGTTGTGAGAACCAATGAGATCATGTTTGTGACTCATCTTAAATTATAAGCAGTGTCACTTCACCATAAATAAAAAGTATTAATGTTAAAAAAATTATTGCAATTCTTTGGATTCAAATAAAGTGGTATTATATGGAAATAACTGACTTAATTTGTAATTCATTATTTTAAAACCATATAATCACATGAAATTTTATGCTATACTGTCTTTACATTACTTTTTAATAGAAAAATAGTAATATTGGGTCATCGGTAATATTCAGTTTCCCAAAATGTATAATAATCTGTTTTTAATCAATGTTTGTAAGGATAACAAAGTCAATATCCACTCAATTTTCCCTATCCTCTAAGATCATGTCAATAATTGTTTTAAAAGCAATGTTAGGCGTATTTTTAAAGACCTTGCATACAGTATGTGCTCAATATTTGTCTGTTGGAGGAATAAACAAATGCTTTCATACTTATTTAGAATTATTTTAATTACTTCTCATATTTTGTCACAAGACTGTCTAATCAGCAGTCTTCTTCCTTCATCCTTTTTCATCCCAGTCTGTTTGCAGATAAAAATTCAATTAGATAATATTTAGTGTATCTATTTGGCATACAGTAAGTGCATAATACACATATACACACGTACACCATATGCACATGTACACACGTGTGTATGCATATGCACACACAAACACAAAAACAGTGATCATCCTGGCTAACATGGTGAAACTCCGTCTCTACTAAAAATACAAAAAATTAGCCAGGCGTGGTGGCAGGCGCCTGTAGTCCCAGCTACTCGGGAGGCTGAGGCAGGAGAATGGCATGAACCCAGGAGGCGGAGCTTGCTTGCAGCGAGCCGAGATCGTGCCACTGCACTCCGGCCTGGGTGACAGAGCAAGACTCTGTCTCAAAAAAAAAAAAAAAAAAAAGAAAAAAAAAGTGATCAGTCTGCCCATCAATGAATCTTCTCGTCTTCCACCCAGAGGGATGTAAGCCTGGTTGACAGGGTCCTCTGAGCAAAAAGGAAAAACGGGTTAAGATTATTAGATGCAATCCCATTTTCATAATTGTTCCCAATCTTTCAGACAGGCCTTATGTCTATGCGTGGAGAGTGCATCTCTTTCAACCCCCACAAGCAAATATCCAGTCTTCTGCTGTGGTGGAGGAGAAATAGTTGTACAGTTGTGTTGGGCAGGGAAGGTGACATGTGGTTTTGCTTCTTAATAGTCTTTAAACCAGTTTTCCTGACTCCACAAGTACCTGATGCCTCCAATTTTTGAGATTTTTAAGTTTCATCTTCTTAATTGGATTGCTTCTTCTTGGATATCCTTCTTGCACTCCAACAATCTGTTAAATCCGTAACCATTCATTCATTTGCTTTTGTGCTTCCAAAATTGTATTGGCATTTCTCATCTTGTGCTCTCTCCTCTCTCATTAACTGTTCCCACGAGGCTAAACTTTCTTTTGCTTTCAGCCACATTTTCATGTGGTTTTCTTTTGGAGAGAGTAAAGATAAATATTTGTGTCCAGTTCATTTTTAACTAGGTGCTCTTTAATGAATCTTCAAACGTCAAGCCATGCTTGCATTCCCAAAATAAAACCTATCTAATCATGACATATTATTTTTAATATATTACTAGATTCTCCTTATTAATATTTGATTTTGAGTGTTCATATCTAGTTTTATAAGTGCAATTGGCTTATTATTTTTTAATCTGCTCCTACAATTTCCATGTCAAGATGATATTAACCTCATAAAATGAATTTGGTAGCTTTACTCTTGTTATATAATCTGAGAAGTTTGTATAAGATATTCCTGGTTAATATGCTAAATAATACTAATAAACTAGCTTCCAAAAACTGATCTGTGTCTGGTGTTTTGGATAGGCAAGTGGAACTTTTTAACAACTTTGATACCTCTTCCTTGTTATCATTTTCTCTTTGAGTCACTGTTAGTTTGCTTATATTTTTCCTAAAATTGTTTACATTTTTTCTGAGTTTTGAAATATAAAGGCATCAAGTTTCTTATCAGACATTCTTTGAATTATTGAATCTCTACTTATATCTTATATTTGCATTTATATTTTCTTTTCTACCAATAATATTCTTTATTTGAGCCTGTCTTATTTACCTTTTGGATCAGATTTAGCAGAGGTTTGTCTATTTCATCAGTCCTTCTAATTTTGCTTGGAAACCCTTGTTAATGATTTTTATTTTGAAGCCTTTTTTCTATTTCATTAATTTCTGCTACCCTCTCTTTAATTTCCTTTACTCTAAATTCTTCAGTTTCACTGTTTTTTCCTTTCATGTACCTCAAATTTAACAGTTATCTTGTGTTTTCAAATATTTTTATATTCCTAATACAGAAATTTAGACTATAAATTTCTAAGATTCACTTTAACTGCCTCCACTAAATTTTGATACATAATGCTTTAGAAATTATTGAGTGATAAATGTTTTCTGATTTGTAATTAATTTCCACTTTAACCCAAAAATTGTTTGTGACTGTACCCATCCTCCAAATCATGCAGGATAGTCAGAAAGAAAAAAAATTTACATTTTTCTTATTTCTAAAATATTATTACATTGTGATTGAGAATCAATATGCTGTTGACATTTTTGGAATTTGTAGAGATTTCTATTGTAGCCTTGCCCAAGTGAATTTTGAAAATAATCTCTATGTACTGTGAATCAATGTTCATTCTCTGCGTTGGATACAAGCTTCTATACATATTTATTAAAGCAAGCTTTCAATAGGTTATTCAAATCTCCTTTTCTTTCTCTCTTCAATTTTTCCAGCTGTTTGTTCTGTGTTACAGGGAGAAATATTTTAAACTTCCTTCTATGTTTGTAGGTTTGTCAGTTTCTCTTTGTAGTTTCTTTATGTCTTTCAATCCTTTGTGGTTAGGAGCTTTGAATTGGGAAGATTAAAAAATGTTAGGAGTTTTTAGACCAGTGGGAATAAAACTCAAGGCCTGATACAAAAAAAGAAACACAGCGCTCTAAATCTGACAGGAAAAAGGCCTATTTCTTTTTCTCAATTGTGTATAGTGTTTACATACCTCTGAGAGATGTGACCCCTCTTTTTTTTAAATCTGTAACGTATTTTCAGGGAAAGTTGTGGAGAGGGCGTCTCCACCTGGCTTCATGCGTTTCCTCTCCTCCCCTCCCTTCCTAGCACAGCCTGTCTTTGGTCAAAAGCTTCCTATATCTCTCTCTTACTCTCCCTTCTCATGGCTTCTCCTTATCTCTAGTGACCATTCTATCCTTTCCGTAAGTATTTCCATTTTCTTTTCCTCTTTATGTCTCCCTTAATGGGTCATAAAGTGGAACTTGAGAGTTTTTGTTTGTTGATAATGCTTATGTTTATGCTATTAATATGAAAATGATATTCATTCAACTCAAACATACATAAGTCATTTGAAGAAAAAATTGTGCCAGATTTTTCTTCATCTTTTTCGATAACCATTACAATTTTTTAAACATTCATATGTCTAAAATTGCTCTTTTTCCCTTTGGTTTAACAACTAATGATTATTTTAAAAATTCCTATTGCAACCTCAGATTTCTATTCCACCCATTTTTAATGGGGAGAGAAACTTATAATATCATCTCCTTTTGCTGAAAGAGTCTGTGAAATAAGTGTAATTTCTTTTTAGCTTAGTCCCAGTGTTGTAATTGTAGAATAGTTAAAGGAGAGCATGTGTACCAATTTTTTTCAAAGAAAAAAATGGTTTTTTTTTCAACAACAGAAGTTTGTGTCTAGGAGGAAACTCATCTAATTGGTCCAAGACCAGGCTGCTAAAATGCAATGTTTATTTATCTCAGAGCCATGACACAAAAGAATATTGCCACTAAAATGTAAAAAAGAATATTAAATTTAAATATAACATCTCTGAGATTGCTTTGTCTTTCAGCAGCATGGCTATGATGAATACCTTGTTAAAGCTGTAAATAACTTTGGCATTTATAGCTTTATCAAAGAGTAATTATGATATAAAGAAATATGAAGATACCTGCCTCTAGAATTTCCATACTGTTCTTATAATTCTTTAGTTATGTTGGGCATACATGCACACTCACACACATACACACACACACGAACGAGGCATTTTTTCCCACTATCGAACAATTACATGAGAAGACTATAGTCGGAAATCACAGCAATCCCTGCAAGGCTGCTTAAGGGATAGTTTATGTTGCATTTTGTGCAGTTTTCTGTCAAGGTGATTTCTATGGTAACCCCTATTTGCATCCTTTCAAATGGTGGTAAAATCCGACACATCCCATTAAATATTGATAGCAGTATTTCATCTACTCTTAAGCCCACTTGGGAATTCTTCATTTTATCTACTGACTGAGACCATTCCCTTGTGGTATCAAGGCAGCAAGCTTTTACTGTTAAAATGTTAATTAGATTTTTATAACCATTTTTATAGTTCTGCTCTTCATCTTGATAGCTACAAACGTATTTATTTACAATTCCATAATGTTCTCATTAATATGCTATGGAAATCTGCTGTAGTACACAGAAGTTAGCTTAATAACAACCCACAGAAATATATCCTTAAAGACATCTGTGAAACATCTGTAGAATTATAATGATGCAAAATAATTTTTCAGCAAATGAGATAATAAGCAGATGATACTTAAGGTCAACATTCTTTATGGCCATAACCTGTCTGCTGGTATAACTATTTCATGCATTTAATAGCATGGATACTACTAATGTTTATTTGCTAAATTCCATGTCTACTTACTAATGTTTATTTGCTAAATTCCATGCTCATTAAAAGTAATGCACATGTAGCCCAGAATATCCTGAGGTCTAAAATAATAGGCACAATCATAGCATTCATTAGTAACATTTTCCTACAAGATGTGTCAAAAAGTCCTACCCACATCTCATTTACCCTTGGGGTATTTGTTTAAGCATTTATCTCTCATTTCACAGAAAACATAAACGCTAAAAGGTGAAGTGCCTTACCCAGGTTCATGTAACAGATAGGAAATGACAAAGCAATTGCAAGTTACATCAGAACAGACATCTAGCTAAACACAACCTGCTATTCTTCTAAGACTTTCTAGTGGAAACAGCTCTACGTTCGAAGTGAGAAGGTTATTGGTGTTACCTTGGGCAAGTCACTAAATTTATCAGTATCTAACTACTTTTTTATTTGGAAAGGGAGATAAAAGTAAATGTCTCAAAGTGTCTGGTAAGGGATAAATATCATTTTATTCACCTCATTTCCCCAAAGCCTAGCAAAATCACAGTAGGCAAGTTTAAACATCACGTGGCTAAATAAAATAACAGACGGATGGACACAAATGGTTTGCAAACCGTGAAGCACTATGTATTGAGGCTATTACTTTACATGAGTCTGCCCATTTACAGAAAACCTCCCGGTGTGGATGGGCCTAACGTATTAGTTTTCTATTGCTGATATAACTAATTATGGCAGCTTAAAACACAAAAGTTATTATCATACATTTTGTGAGTTAAAAGTTCAGCACAGGTCTGCCTAGTCTGAAATCAAGGTTCAAGCCTAGTGCTGCATTCCTTTCTGGAGACTCTAAGGAGGACTCTTTCCCCTTCTTTTTTACAGCTTCTAGAGGCCACCCACATTCCTTGATTCATGGAACTCTTCCTCCATATTCAAAACCAGCAATATTGTACCCTTTGATGATAAAAACACTCAACAAATTAGAGATGGAAAGAAATTATCTCAACCCACAGCTAACATTATACTCAATGGTGAAGAGTTGAAAGCCTGTTCTAGAAGATCAGGAAAAGGCAAAGATGCCCACTCTCTCCACTTCTATCCAACATGGTACTGGAAGTCCTAGCCAGAACAAGTAGACAATAAGAAGAAATAAAAGAAATCCCAATTGGAAAGGAAGAAGTAAAACTTTCTCTGCTCACATATGACATGTTCTCATGTATAGGAAACCCTCCAAGATTCCACTCCCCTACAAAAAACTGTAAGAACTAGTAAATAAATTCAGCAAAAACCACAGTACATAATATCAACATACAAAAATCAGTAGCATTTCTAAACATGAAAAATCAGAAAAGGCAACAATCCCATTTAAAATAGCATCAAAAAGAATAAAATACTTAAAAATAAACTTAAGGAGGTAAAAGATTTGTAAACTGAAAACTACAAAATGTTGCTGAAAGAAATAAGTAAATGGAAAGATATTCTCTGTTTACGGATTTGAAGACTTAATATTGTTAAAATATCCACACTACCCAAAGATATCTACAGATCCAATGTAATCCTGATCAAAATCCCAATGACATATTTTTGCAGAAATATAAAGACCAAACTGAAATTCACCTTGAATCTCAAAGGCCCCTGAATAGCCAAACAATCTTAAGAAAGAAAAACAAAGCTAGAAGCCTCACACTTCCTGATTTCAAAACATAGTGTCAAGGCTACTGTTTTAGTCTGCTCAGGCTACTACAACAAAAAACCATACACTCGGTGGCTTAAACAATGGAAATTTATTTTCTTACAGTTCTGGGGAATCGGATGTCCGAGATCAAGATGCCAGCTCATTCAGTTCCTGATGAGGGTTCTCTACCTGGTTTGTAGACAGTTGCTATCTCCCTGTGCATTCCCATGACCTCATCTTTGTGCACGTGTGAAGAGAGAGAGCTCTGGTTTCTCTTCCTCGTCTTGTAGGAGCATCAGCCCTATCGAGTTAGGTCCCCATATTTATGACCTTATTTAACCTTTGTAATCTCTTCACAGGCCCTGTCTCCAAAGACAGTTGCCTTGGGTGTTACGGCTTCAACATATGAATTTGGAGGAGAAACAAACATTCCATTCATAACAGCTACAATAATCAAAACCATATGGCACTGACATAAAAAACAGAAATATAGACAAATGAAACAGAATAGAAAACCCAGAAACAAAACCTCAGATATATGGTCAAATTATCTTCAACAAGGGCACCAAGGCTACAAAATGAAGAAAGAACAGTTTATTCAACAGATAGTTTTGGGGAAATTGAATAACCGCAACCAAAAGAATGAACTTCTACTTTATCTTATACCATATACAAAAATTAACTCAAAATGGATTAAGGAAATAAACATAAGGCCAGAAATTATAAAACTTCCACAAGAAAACATGGAGGAAAATCTTCATGGCATTGGATTTGGCAATAATTTCTTGGATATGACACAAAAACACAAGCAACAAAAGCAAAAATAGACAAATGGGTCTATATCAAACTTAAAGCTTCTGCACAGCAAAGGAAACAATTAAAAGAGTGAAAAGGCAATACATGGAATGGGAAAAGGTATTTGCAAATCACATATCTGATAAGAGTTTAATATCCAGAATATATAAATGACTCTTACAACTCAACAACAGCAAAATAACCCAATAAAATATTAGGAAAATGACTTGAATAGAGATTTCTCCAAAGACTACATGCAACCAATGGATAATGAGCATTTAAAAAGATGCTCAATATTACTATCATCAGGAAAATGCAAATCAAAGCCACAGTGAGACATAACCTCACATTCGTTAGGATGCCCACCCTCAGATTTGTAGAAATTGGAACCCTGGTGCTCTCCAGGTGAAAATGCGAAATGGTGAAGCTGTTATGGAAAATAGTATGAAGTTTCCTCAAAAATGGAACTACCATATTATTCCACAGTCCCACTTTTGGGTATATATCCAAAAGAATTTAAAGTGGGATCTAAAAGAGATTATTTGCACACCCATGTTCATTGAATCTTGTCTATCTCTTTAGCCAAGAGATAGAAGCAACCTAAATGTCCATCAACAAATGAATGGATAAAGAAAATGTGGTATAAGCATACAATGAAATATTATAAAGCCTTTAAAAAGAAGAAAATCTTATCATATGCAACAACATGAATGAAACCTGAGAACACTGAGTTAAATAGGCCAGTCACAAGACAACAAATACTGCATGATTCTACTTATTTGAGTATCTAAAATAGTCAAGCTCTTAGAAAGTAGAATGGTGGTTACCAGGGGCTGGAGATTGGGGGTAAGGGGGACAGTGGCTGAGATTAGGGAGATGTTAGCCAAAGACTAGAAAGTTTCAGTTAGACAGGATGAATAAATTCTAGAGATCAATTGCAAGCATGGTAACTATAGTTAATAATAATGCTTTGTACACTTGAAAATTGCCAAGAGAATAGATCTACAATGTTCTCACCACAGAAAAAAGACACTAGATAAGGTGTGACGGGTATGTAATATCTTGATTGTGGTAATCATTTTACAATGCATAAGTAAGTCAAAATATCACGATGTACCACAAATATATATAATTTTTGTTTGTCAATTATACCTCAATAAAAAACTTTTAAAAATATTTCAATGCTTAATAAAATTTCTATTTGTTATACATAAACATGAGTATGTATTAGTATATGCCTGTGTGTTTTATTTTAATCTATTTCACCAAAATATAGGTACAGTAAAATCAGTGACAAAGAAACAATAGTTTTCTTTTCTACATTTTCAGTCCCTTGTTCTATTCTCAGTAAACAAACCTAAGCACAGGAAATATGTTTTCTTTAAAAATGAGCAGACTATATTTCCAAGTGGACCTACCTATCCAAAAATGAGTCTTTATTCCACCACAGTCTTTCTCCCTACTCCAATCAGACCAGTCTAAACCCACATTGTCCAATACTGTAACTATTAGCCACATGTGGCTATTTGAATTTAAATTAATCGAAATTTGATAAAATTAAAAATCCAGTTCCTCAATCACACTAGCAACATTTCAGGAATTCAATTACTACATGTAACTAATTGGCTACTCTGGTGAACAGCGCGGATAGAGAACATTTCCATCATCTCAGCAAATTTAACTGGTCTAAAGTAAAGAGCATATGGTATACATTATACATATAACACATATATAAACACTATGCAAATTCATACTAATTACTTTATATAATTAGCTTCAGTTCCTCTGTTTTTCTGTCTTTTATATACCTCTGCTTTTGTGTCTTTTATACACCATGTTTCTCATGTTTAAATGGCATGTGACATATATTTGCTCAACACATTTCAGGACTGTTTAATTTTTCTAGGATTGTGATAGAAACAGGGATTGAGTCAAACTGTTAGGATATGGCAGCTCAGTCCTCAGCATTTCTTTCCAATGTGAACGTCTTTAAAAACTAAAAGGTAAACATACACAGATTTGGTGATAACAGGAAGTAAAAATAGGTCAGGGTGTTTTCAGCACTTTCTTCCTCCATAAAAAAATGTTAAGATAGGCAACATAATGACACCACCCACCAGGCTTTGAGAGACAATTTGACTCCATAAAAGGGTGGGAAATTCTTGACCCTCAAGAACATTGCCAAGAGAACAAAATAGAGACCAGGTGATATGGGATCCTAGAGTCTGAACTGAAATTGCTAGGCCAGGTGCGGTGGCTCACGCCTGTAATCCTAGCACTTTGAGCGGCCAAGGTGGGAGGATGACCTGAGGTCAGGAGTTCGAGACCAGCCTGGCCACCATGGTGAAACCCTGTCTCTACTAAAAATACAAAAATTAGCCTGGCGTGGTAGTGGGCACCTGTAATCCCAGCTACTCAGGAGACTGAGGCAGGAGAATCACTTGAACCCAGGAGTCGGAGGTTGCAGTGAGCCAAGATCACACCACTGAACTCCAGCCTGGGTGACAGAGTGAGACTCCGTCTCAAAAAAAAAAAAAAAGAAAGAAAAGAAACCACTAAAACAAAAATTCACATATCTCCTAAGCATCTCCAGATAGTAATGTGTATAAGACAATTAGGATTCCCTTCCTTCTGTGTCCTGACCAATCCTCACATATTTCTCCTTCAACTCAATGGGACCACATTTATATGGTCAAGGACTCAAGGAACACATTAGGAGTATACAATGGGGCCACAGGGCAGGAGTCTCCCTTTTCATGTTCTGTTTTGAATTTCTTCCTTCTTCCAACCTAAAGGGAGACTAAATTCCCAGCTACATGATATAGTATTTGCTTTTCCTAGTTGATAACTAGAATAATATCAGAATATTTAAAGATAAACTCCATACTCTCCCCAAACAGTTCAGTCAGGATTTCTTTTTGTAAGAGGTATTGGTTCATTTTCAGTTCCCTTCTACTACAAAGGCTTTTGAATATTCTCTGAGGCGCTTGTCTGTCATCATTGGAAAGAAGCAAAAGTACGGTGATTATGCCAAGAGGAGTAAAATGGCATTACTTAAATAATTCACCTTTATGTCATGTAACCACACTAGCACTAAAGAAGACACAGAGAACAAAGACCTGGATGACACTTTTGCAGGTTGGTGAGAATTTAATCTCAGATTTCCATAAAAGCCTTTTATCTTCTCCCACCCCCACCTTTTTCCCCCCAGCTGACCCAATTTAAAGCTACACGATCAGGTCAACTCAGCAGGAGATGCAGAAGGCAGAAAAACAGATTCTTATTCTTACAAATGGAGAGAGAGAGCCAGGAACCCAAGAGCTAAAGTCGAAGACCTTGGAGAAATGATTTTAAAGTTGGGGGAAAAAATAAAAGATGTTAGAAATCAATAAAGGTCAGAACCTTGATGTTTCTCTTTGGATAAAGGAAAAAAAACATTTATGTTATTTTTTGTGGTATCTGCATACACAACACCTGAATTAATTAACTACGCACGTCACCTGTGCTGCACTAAGGCACTCTGACACAAATTGAGAGTATACAATTTGCCAGCACTTTACTTAGCAGTTAAATGTACTAAGGAACTAAATCCTCATCAAAACTCCTTATCGCCATCCCATTGTAGAAGTTGAAAAACTGAGTTGAAGCAACTTGCCCACAGCTAGAGGAGTTAGAATACCAGCTCAGGTGATTCAATTTCTGACCCTCTGCACTTAACAGCTTTACTATACTTCACATGACCACAAACCACTGTTTTTTCAAAGAATGACCAATGGACTAAGCCCATCCTAAGAATTGTCATTAAACAATAGTCTCGAGATACCCATCCCAGGCCAACTGAATCAGATTCTATGGGAATGGGACCTAGATATCTGCATTTTTACAAACTCTTCAGGTGTTTCTGAAACATTCATAAGTATATACTTTAAAGTGTATAGTATTTAGGAAACAGTATGTACTAGACCTCAAAAGCATAAGCACTGACTGAAAGCCAGGATGTCTGGGTTTAAATCTTTACTCTGCCATTCACTAGTTCTGTTAAACAAGTTATTTGATCTCTCTCTGTGCCTCAGTTTCTGCAGCTATATCATTTAATTGGTTTAACAGGCATCTGCCTATTCATGGTTGTAGGACTGTTCAGTGAATTTGTTTTTCACATTCATAGAGGATATCAAAACGATGAATGATCAAAAGGACTGATAATTCTAAAATAATCAATGTTAGTTTGTATGTGTTGCATTTGACTAAGAATTTGATATTCTCTTAATCAATACCAAAATAAAACAAATGGTGTCAAATTGTGAAAAACTTTACTTTGAAAATGAACAAGGAAATGATGCAGTATCTTCATTTTGACTGTCTCTGAAATATATTTCTTCCCTGCCTCCTCATTCAGTTATTTCTTATAAACCACAATAAGCTGGTATATTCCTCTTTCTGTACTGACACTTGTTTATCTCATTGCTGCTATAGAACCTCTGGGGAGATTGAGATGAAAGGCACAGGAACAGGATGGAAAAGACAGACTGATAAAAATTCAAAAGAATATTTGTGTAGCAAATTACTTCAATGTATACAAAGTATACAGAATGTAAAGAGTCTATTAAACCAACACTTCTCTAAAATAGGTTTAGCTATAATAAAATGGAAGGCAAAATTTGCCACACAATAATTAGCCCAAAGATAGAGAGGGAAGGTTTGATTGTCAAATAACTGAATCAGTTACTTCTTAGTACCAAGAAACTCAGCCTGTGTGAGGCTCTGAATTTTGAAGGCGATGGTGGAAAATAAAGATATTTAACGCCTGAATAATAAGATTTACTATATATTACTAGATAAGTGTTGACCCCAAACAATTTTAGCATTAAAACAAAAGTCCAGTGTGTGCCAAACTCAGTAGATTCAAAAGACAACCTCAACAATTTCAAGAATCCCCAGGCTTTCCAACAACACTACATAGCTCTTCAACAGAGCTGCTCATTTTGTAATAATTAAAATAAAAGAGCAACATCTTGTCAGGACAAAGAGTCCAAGCAATGAGCTCCATTTCCACATCTGACAAATGATTACCTCACACAAGAGCCTGCCAGAGAGCTTGACTCAAGTTCCTTCTTTATCCAAATGAGATGTTGTTACTAAAATGTAAGCTCCACAAGAACAGGAACCTTCTTTATTTTATTCACTCTTATATCTGGCTTTGACACAAATGGCTGGCACACACACACACAAAAGGCATTCAATAATTGTTAAATTGCTGAATGAATACCATAGGTCTTAGACTTTTGCAGTTGTTCTTACATACTCAAAGTTGCAAGTTTACCTATTTAGATGTCAGTACAGATAAACAATATCTCCTTCTTTAACCAACTTCATGGCTGGGAGGTTGTAAAGAAAATTAGAAAGCCTTGGCCAGGCGCAGTGGCTCACGCCTGTAATCCCAGCACTTTGGGAGGCCAAGGCGGGTGGATCACAAGGTCAGGAGATCGAGATCATCCTGGCTAACATGGTGAGACCCCATTTCTACTAAAAAAAAAGAAAAAAAAATTAGCCAGGCATGGTGATGGGTGCCTGTAGTCCCAGCTACTCGGGAGGCTGAGTCAGGAGAATGGCGTGAACCCGGGAGGCAGAGCTTGTAGTGAGCCGAGATCGCGCACTGCACTCCAGCCTGGGGCGAGAGCGAGACTCTGTCTCAAAAAAAAAAGAAAGAAAGAAAATTAGAAAGCCTTAAGATCTGGTTCAGTCACACATGAACTACCCAAACCTGCGTTCAGTATTCAAAGTAATGTTACAAAACTAATTTCAGCAAATTAGTTTAATAACATTTTAATGGAAATTTATGACTTCAGTAGCATCCCATCCAAATACCTAGAAAAGATGTTCCAATAGGCTGAGCAGGGGAGGTGGGCTTTATAGGCAAAAAGGAAGCAGAAATGGAGAATAAAAAGCAGATTGGTTATTTTTAAGTTACTTCCTTTTTTTTCTTCTTCTTTTTTTTTTTTTTTTTTTTTGGAGTCGGAGTCTCGCTCTGTTACCCAGGCTGGAGTGCAGTGGCACGATCTCAGCTCACTGCAACCTCTACCTCCAGGGTTCAAACAATTCTCCTGCCTCAGCCTCCCAAGTAGCTGGGACTACAGGTGTACACCTCCACACCTGGCTAATTTTTTTGGTATTTTAGTAGACACAGGGATTCACCGTGTTGCCCAGGCTGGTCTCGAACTCCTGAGCTCAGGCAATCTGCCTGCCTTGGCCTCCCAAAGTGCTAGGATTACAGGCATGAGCAACCGCGCCTGGCCAAGTTACTTCCTTTATAGGATTAAACTGGAGAGGACTCCCTTATCATGCCTGCTCAGGTAAGCTGGGCCCCTTCTGATGGGTTGCTATGAAGCTTGTTTTTTGGAAAACTGGCCCGTTTATAGTTCAGTCTGGTTATGTGGCACCTAGCATGAGTGACTCCATTCTGATTTGGTCTGGTCTGTGTTGGACCTAGTGCAGGAGCTCAGTAAAAAAAAATGCCCTCCCATAAATTTCACGTAACAGTAACTTGAAATTTCTCAGAAAACGAAAAAGTTGTGGTTTTGAAATCAGTATTTCAAGGTAGCGTTAGTTTGGGACCTCATTGCCTTTGGAAATGATAACATGCTGTCATTAATAGACTTGTTGGCCATAAACAAACACTCATAGTTCCCTTAAGATTTATGTAACTGAAACAAAAAGAGGAGTGACAAGGACAGGATGTTACTGTTTTTCCTCTCATTTTGCCTCAGCACTTGGCTAATTTTATACTCACTCTGAACAGGAAAGTAAACAAACAAGTGACCAAGGAAGACTGTGGAATTACATGGCTCCTTCAAACCCAGCTCCCTAAGACCAGGTAAGTGAGTGTCCCTCAATAAAGCAACCTGAAATTGCAGATGTGGCTCTGGACGAATTCTTTCTAAGGCCGGGATGGAACACTTTTTCCATGGAGTCTGGAGCTTCACTGTTTACAAGTGGGTTGTTTTCTCATCCGGAAGCCATCTTCACCTCTACTTACCCAGGGCTCCATCAGAATGTAATCATAAAACTAGACTGTAGGCCGGGCGCGGTGGCTCATGCCTGTAAACCCAGCACTTGGGGACGCCGAGGCGGTCAGATCATGAGGTCAGGAGACCAAGACCATCCTGGCTAACACGGTGAAACCCCGTCTCTACTAAAAATACAAAAAATTAGCGGGGCGTGGTGGCAGGCGCCTGTAGTCCCAGCTGCTCGGGAGGCTGAGGCAGGAGAATGGCGTGAACCCGGGAGGCGGAGCTTGCAGTGAGCCGAGATCGCGCTACTGCACTCCAGCCTGGGCAACAGAACAAGACTCCATCTCAAAAAACAAAAAAAAAAAAAGAAAAGAAAAGAAAAAGAAAAAAAGGACTGTACAGGACATCATGAAGTGCGATATTTTTCCAGGGGAACATTAAAGTTCTCAGGGAGTGGGTCTGTAACAAAGCACTATTGGTACTTGCCTAAAATGCATTTTAATAATAAAGCACTTTTCTTCTGTGCTGAAAGATTTCATTTTAGGCTTATTTACCCTTGGAACGATAGAACCTATTTGTAACGTCCTTGACTAAGAATGGCTCTGGAATAGAAATGAGAACTGGTGGAAGTAAGAGGAGCCAGACCCGCGCAGGGCATTGCTGGCCAGAGATGCTGCTGACTTCATCTCCGTACTCAGCAAAGGCACCATCGAAATTCATCAAGAGAAGGCCAAGAGGTGTGGTTTGGCACTGTTGGTGCTCAGAATGCAACATCCCGAAGTATGGTACTTTGGCATGCTGAGTACTTTGTCCTAAGGAGATTGGCAGGCCTCAGAAGCAAGATCTCTCCGACCTTCTCCTGCTCTCCTGTCTCCCACCTGTTTTTCTCCCTCTGGAGGAAGTCACAGAAATCAGAATTCGTCCTCTGCAAGGTGGGTCACAGAAACCAGAACCCCTCTCTCCCAAGGCCCGGCAAAAAATCCTAGAAAGGTCATTTCCTCTTCTCTTTTAAAGACTCTCATTCCAGAGGGGTCTTGCACCGTAACCATGAGGAAGGAATGCTACACAGAGGCCAAGAACAACCTGAAGAGGCAGGCCTTGCTGCCTCCACCCCCAGACTATTGTCATTAGAGCGTATCTTTTGTCCAACTGCATTTCTACATGGCCTTCCACTCTCCATCGAACCTAAGCATAAGAGACAGTTTTCCCTGGGTCTCTGGGTCTTCAACTCTGAAGGCTCCCCTGTCATGTAAAACTTTGATTAAATAAATGTGTTATGCTTTTCTCTGGTTAACCTGTCTTTTGTTACAAGAGTGTTGCCTGTGGCCCTGATGGGGAGGAAAGGCACCAACCCTTCCCTCCTGCAGAGCTAAACTTTGTATTCTGATTTAATCCAAACACTGTAATGCCAAAGCAAAGCTGAACCCAGGGAATTAACAGAGTATGCAGTATATGTGAGACCGAAGTGCTGGGTTAGTCTTTTGAAAATTCTCTCCTGAAAAAGAACAAAGGAGATGAAAAAGGGTGCACGTTTAGAGCTGCAGCAGGAGTCTGGACTCGCCAACCCAAAGCCCTCCTCCTTCTGGGGTTGGTTTCTAAATGATTTTGTGGCTAAAATATGACTCCTGGGTTTGTCATAAGTATGTTCAGTAGATACGTGAGGAGGATTTAACATTTGTAATTTTTGTTTGTTTGTTTAGAAATAAAAAGCCACAGCAATCTAGTTTTTGTCAAAAATGGCATGCTGTTCTGTATGGTCACTGGAGCACCTCTGCTCAAGTTTTATCATAACCCCTGAACAAGTACACAGACTGAGGCTGAATGAAGAGGAGTCAAGCTCGATCGTTTACAAGTGGGTTTGAAAGCTTTGAGATAGACCTTGGCCAGGGGCTGTTATCTTTATTGTGCAGAATGACTGAGTTCGACTTCTGGATCACTGGGTTGGGGTGATACTTTTGCAAAGAAGTCAGTGGTGCTGTCTGGGTGGAAAAAAAGATGTCCCAGCACCTTAGCTGTTAGGTATGGAGCAACAGAAAGGAGGTGGGAGGAGATACTCATCAACTGGTGCTCATAATGGAGAAAGATAGCCTTAGATCATGAATCAGCTTGCAGCTCCACCTATAGCTTTGAAAGGGCACCGTTGTTTCTTACTGTATCACCAGCTCATTAATACGAGTCGGCAGTCATTACGGGTGGTACAAGAGAGAACATAATTTACATATTAAGTAGTTAATCGTGGATTCTGCAGCATTTCAACGCTCGAAGGTATGCCTTTCTAAAACACTTCAAGGGCACGGTTCAGGTTCGTGTCAATAAAGTTTTCTTCTGTCTATAAAATGGATGTTTGTTAAAAGATGATTTTAGTACAATTGCACAGGCTGTTTGCTGGGTGAACTTGTGACCTGTTGTCTGAAATGGAGGTGGGAACTTTTCCAATATGAACGATTATTCCCACTGACATTCTGATGAAGTTAATGGACACAATTTACTTGAAGGACCATATCTGAGGGTTCTCAGTAGGGATGAGTATGAATAATATTAACTTTTATAATGTAAAACCATAAAATCCATTAATTTTATCATCATAAATAAAATTATATTAATAGAATTTTCTTTTTTTTTTTTAATTTTATGGCCACTGGGATGATGGAGTGACTTTTCAAGCTTCGCATCTTTTCACTCTTGGTTGTCATGAACACCTGTGGGCTGCCAGCAGGGTGGAAAGAGAGGCCAGGCTGGGGGAAGAGTTTATTGACAAACCTGAATAGGGCCTGTGGTTGCATAGTTACTGTAGAGTTAGTGAGATCTGATCTGTAAATAAATACTTTCCTAAAAAAGCAAGCTCCAATAATAAACTTCTTGGCACATGGCAGAACAGAATGATTTGGAATAGCTAGTAGTTCTCTGTGGGAGGAACCAGTTCAACAGGTCCTTCCCTCCTTCAAAAGCAGATTTATCCCACCATCTGCAAGACACTCAGTGGACTTCCCCATAAAGCAGACTGTATATCTGAGAAAAATATGCCATGAGAAGGACATTCAGGACCCCTGATTATGACATTATTGGGGGCGCTGTTAAAAACATTTATTTTTCTCATTACTAAAGTAACATATTACTTTAAAGTAATATATTATTCGGCTTGCAAAAATAGGAAAAATACATATGATTCTAAAACACAACCATGATTAGCCTTTTGGTGCTTGGTTTCAAGTATTTTTCCCCTAATTAGCTTAGAATTATCTCAGAATTATCTCACACAGTTGTTTGTTACTCCAGGAACATTAAAGAAATGCTATATTCTTTAGAATTCTATTTTCAATGGAAAGTGTAGAGGAAGTAACAATACATGAGTTTTAATGAACAATATCAAGGAACTTTTAGTTGTTTGGTATATTTTCTACATGTGTAACCATTATGTGTTTTTTAATCACTATTATCATGAAATTAATGAATGCTAGATGAATCTTTAGATGTCTTGTAAGCCAAGCATAAGTGACAGTTCTGCAAATATTTTCAACTATTATTTGGAATCTTACCAGAGTCTATTTATTTCCACACATCTTGTCTAAGATGTGAGGTGCACACACACATATATACTGAACACACATGCTTGCTTATTAGCCCAACATCAAGGACTCTGTTTCTGCACCCATTCACAGAAGGAAAGCTGCCTGTGCTTCCCTTACTCTCTTTGTTTTCTGAAGTTGGTAGATTTCTGCCCACACTCTTTCTGCTCTGTCTCTGAGTTCATTCATTTATTTAAATCACTGAATATTGAAAGCTCAGTCAGGCACCAAGACTATCAACCTGAATAAGTATCAGCATACCCTACTTGTCTTTTGCTGCACTTCAGAAAGGTTTTGAACCAAGAAACCAGATCTTAAGCTGGTTTGAAAGACTGGTAAATTTCTTCATTTGATTGCAGGAATTTAACTTTTAATTGACTTGGTACATTACTGAGGAGGTATGAAAAGCAAGTAAGCTCACATTGATGGTTACCGTGTCCTTAGGATTTGAAAGAGTAATCTGAACTATGAAATAGTTGTGCAACTTTGCCTTATTAAGGCTTCGTTCTGTGATGGAAGCTACTTCAACTAGCTGGAGAGAGCTAGTCAGCTCTGTCTGGAAGTCAAAGCTGATGACCTTCTCATTTGTGTCCACCTGGACCAAACATCTGTGCCAACACCTGGAGGAATTCTACTTGGGATATTACAAGGGACATAGAGGGATTGATTTAAATTAGTTGGATCCATATGTAAAGAGAATTTTATTTAATTAACTGTAAAATTAACGTCATCATTAAAATAATAAAACCCAACTTCTCTTCTCTAGGAGGTCATGGCCTTCCTAGCCACTTTTATGTTTCAAATAAGAAAAATGTTGAGTTAACAATTTATTTATATGGTCCGTTCAGTATAAGAACTAGGAAGACAATTTATTCATGCCTTAGACTTCTAATAGCTCCATTCCCATATATAAAGGAGTACATATCCCAATTAATACAACTTTTTGCCACATTAATTATTCTAGCAGAACACTCTAATTTTTGTGTTTAAAGAATTCACAAGCCTCTTTAAAATATCAGGAACGATATTAATATTTAGTGAGGAACAGTATATATATATAGAGAGAGAGAGAAAGGGTTACATTAATCATTTCTCATATATATATATATATGAGAAATGAAATGAAATATATATATATTTCAAAGCTTACAGAGTTTAAGGAATCTTCCTGAGGTCACAAAGGTCACAGCTGAGTTTTAAAACCAAGTCTGCACGGTACCAAAATCCTTCTTCTTTCTAACACACTAAATTGCCTTAAGAAAGGCAGCTCCCCTTACTGAATCCCACACCATTCCCATCCCACGAATATATTCTTTCTTTTTTCATACCACAAATTTTTATTTACCACCTATCAGCCAAACGTGATAAGTGTTGAAACCATTGTTTAACATTAATTTCAAGTAATGATCTTTATGGCTGCCATTGTTCAATAACTCAATACCAAGATTTTAATATTTGTATTTATAAAATGCTCTGGCATAATGAATTATTCATAGACAACTATGTCATCACCCAGATTTAACATAGGCAAATATTGTGCCATATCAGTTTTCTCTTATTAAAAATCAAAATATTTTGGCTCCCCTACCTCCATCTCTTTTCCTTTTCTTTTCTGTAGAGTTGGCCACTGTCGAGAAGTTCGTATGTATGATTTGCATGCCATCATGTTACATACTTTTATTACATACATAACTTTAAAGGTCCAGTTTTCTCTGTTTTTCATGACATAGACATTATCAAGTTTCCCTTTTCCTTTCACACTTTCTGCAAAACACTGGCCACCAGTTTCATTTTTGTGAAAGCCTAAAGAGTATCTATTTTCCTAGTTCTACAAACACCATTTCTCTCTATAGTGACTATGAAAGCAATGACGATTATGAGATTGGGTTTACAGAATTGGTGACTACAGTGTAGGGAGAGTGAGTAGGAGACAAGATTATAAGAAACTAACAGGCCACTGGTTTGTGTTTTGTGGTGCCATTGATGGAGACAGAAAATTTACTAAAATGGGACAGATTTTGACAGAGAGGACACAGGATTTGGAATGTCTTGAATGTGAGGTGACTATAATGGTAACTAGAAATAGTTGAATTATAAATCATATAATGAAAGAGAACGGAAGTGTGTGTGTGTGTGTGTGTGTGTGTGTGTGTGTAAGGATTGTAAATTTAATTTACAGTACAACTTGAATGAAGATATAAAATGTAGTTTCTTTATTGGTCTACTTGTACTTAGAAAGTACAAGTCCTACTTTCTAAGGGGATAGTGTGGGAGTAACTAAATGGCCCATCTGACATCAAGCATTTTTCAACAACTAATTTTAATGCTCCTTTAAGATTATCTAGTCTCTCATTTCCAGCTGCCCCTCCCATAACCCTTTTGCTTTGTTATCAAGGGTGTAGGAGTGGAGTGTTCATGACTTCCCAACAGGAGAGTGAAGGGGGTCTTCAGATCCATATAGCATTCCCTGTACCATCATGGCACTGGAAGCAAAAGGCCAGTCAGCTGTCCTCTGAAGTATGGTTGACCAAGTTCTGTACATTTACACCATCTATTGACTTCTACAACTTCCATAGTCTACTTCCTGTCTGGTTCCTTTTTTGGTTTAGTCATAGCTTGGTGGCCCCTCTCTGATGACATCCCTTGCCTTGTTACTCCATGGCTGTAAGGGCCTCTGAGTCACTTCCCTGTTCTCTATCTGGCCCATCATGCCCACAGTGATCCACTCCCAGTCTCTGCTATGGGCCCATCACAGCAGGCCCCAAGACAAGCCCTAGCTCTTAGTGACTGCACCAAGGGAGGTTTAGCAGGGCAGACTAGACTCTTCTCTCCACCTGATCATGGGGCTTTGTTTGCCTAAATATGCTAAGGGTGCCTGTTAGAGGTCTACATAGCAGTCTTATCCTAAAGCTCCCAATAGGGATGAGGTAAGCTTTCTGCCCCCTTAAAATAATCCCTTTTCTATTTTAAGCCTGGAGCAGGAATACCAAAGCCTTACTCACTTTCTCCATTTTGCTCTTTTTTGCTTAGCAAGTCCCTAGGAGCAGAAAGGGTAATTTAAGAAAGAATAAAAAGCTCTTCCTATATGTGTGATCCTTCTCCTTGGCTCAGCCTCCTGCCTAAGCCTTGGAATAGATTAGAATAGATGGGAGAGTATTTGTTACACCAGGAGGAGAATTCAATAATCTGATTCCTTTGTGTTTAACTCCTTTTGTTTAAAAGTAATTTAGCAAATCCACCCTTTATATATATAACTTGGCTTTCAAGCCCATTTTTATGCAAACACATAAAATACCAGGCCTCTTTTTCTTTATTTATTTATTTTGTTGTTGTTATAGAAATGCATTTTTTTGTAAAGATGGGGTCTCACTATATTGCGCAAGCTGGTCTCAAACTCCTGGGCTGAAGCGATCCCCCCACCTTGGCCTCCCAAAGTGCTGCCAGCCCTCTTTTTCTAACAGACCATAGGGAAAGAGGCTGTTGCTCCACTCACAATTAAAAATGTTTGGAAAAGCTCGTTATGTAAGAGTGACTCTCCCTCATTATCAAAGAAATGGCTTCAGCATAATTAAGATGGGAAAGAAAAGTTCATGTTTTAATGGTGAAAATCAAAATGGCTTAGCTTAATTTTGTAACATATTTTCTTTATTGCATATAGATTTGGAATCATAGCTAAATAGTAGTTATTTATTGAACCTATACGACAAGAGAGATGAGAGTGTCTAGAGGTAGAGAAAGCCGAATGCTAAGGAACACCAACATTAGCAGCAAATAGTAGAAGAGAGGCCACGTGAAAAGCAAAAGGTGGCAGGAAAAGAAAGAAGACAATGAAGGGTGAATGGTACTATGGAAGGTTTCTAAAGGTCAGCAGTGCTACATGCTACACGAGGTCAAGTAAGGTAATAAAATCAGTCCACTGAATCTGAAAATGAAGTTATTGGCAGTTTTAGCAAGAATGGTTCTGATAAAGTGGTGGGGTCAGAAAACATTTAATAGGACTAAGGAATCAAAGAGAAGTGGAAAAGTTAATAAAGTTAAGTTTCTTTCATGAAAAGCTGTTGTTAAGAAAAAAATAAATGTATATAAGCAAATGTAAGCAGAGTCTCAGGAAAGTTATTTTTAGGAAGGAAGACTGTACTTGCCAGGCTAGGTTAAGTTATTCTACAGTAATAAACAACCCCAAAATTCTGAAGCTAGATTTCTCCTATACATTACAAGTCCAATTCAGGTCAGCAGGAACCTGTTCTTTTCACCATAACCCTTCAAGGACCCAGGAGTGTAGAGGCTGTATCACCTGAGCTCATAAAGCTTCCAGCCATCAGTGAAACTCATCACCACCACTCAACTATTACTGGCCAAAGCAAGTCACATGGCTATATACAACTTTGAGGGGAACAGGAAGTACAACCATAAATTATGAATGGATAGAAAATATCACTATTTGTGAATAGGCTTATTGTCTACTACAGGCAAGAGTGACTTGCCTAGACCAAAGTAAGGGAATCTGTAGCACTGAAGAGAGAGAGAGACTGAAGACGGACCAGAAATAGGATTAAATGAAAGAGCAACATCTTTAAAAGATGAGGGAGAGGAGAATGTGAAGCACAAAATGATGGTAGAGCTTTTATAGAAGGACTATGGTTCCTAGTGATGGGCAGGAAGCGAGGCCAGCCATCAGTGGAGGTGAGTAGTACATGCAGTTCATATTCGATAGCCTCTGTTTTTCTATCTGAAGTAGGAAGCAAGATCAATGAGTGGGTATGAGAGAGTTAGGGTCAGGGTTAGAGTAAGAGTGCAGCAAAATTAGATGAAATTTTCTAATTATTACTCTAGCAAATGGGAGAAAAGCAACTCAAGTATTGACTGCGGAATTTCTGGTTAATAGCTTGATTCTAGGAGTTTCCAATAGGAATGTTTAAAATTGCACTAATCTGATGGGTGTCTAATTTTCTCCAGAAATGAGAGAGAAGGAAGAGTAACCTAGGATGGTTGGATTATTCAACGTTTGAGGATATTCAGGGCAATGTAACAGACAGTTGCAAGGATGGGGATGTGAAAAAGCATTGGCAAGGAAGAAGCTAAGGGGATAAAGCAGAAAAGTAGTTCATCAACTGGGAGGAAAGAAAGTATTGACCAAGTTATTTTCCCTGATGAAAATTATGACTTTTTCAACTCCCTGATAAAGCAAATCCCTTGAAAATATAATGACAGCTTTTATAGGAGTCCAATTAAATCAAGTAAGATTTGCATGCTCTCTTTGGTAAACCTCCCAGAAGAGACTTCTAGCAGAACTACTCTGTCACTGGGAGTTACTACTATGGAGGTGGCTAATAAATCTACCGCTTTTGATGAACACATGAAGGTGTCAGGGGAGTCTAATATATTTTATCCAGCAGGAAAAGATGGATTCTAGTAAACTTGGTTTGCAACTTTGAAGCCATAAATCATTTTAAGAATGATCGTTAGACCTGAAGACACCAACAGAATAGAAAGCCTGGGAATAAGTTAAGAAAAAGCTTTATTAGAAGGAAGGAACAAAGATAAATTCAGATTTTTTTTTAGAATTCGCTTTATTGAAATTAACTCTGGGATGGGGGATATTATATATAGAAATATTTACTTCCCTGGTTTAAAACTCCAGATAGAGCTAGCTATTGAAAAGCTATTAAATCTAGCATGCTGACATCCAACTGCTTTATATTTACATATTCAAGAATGTGAGCATGATTTCTGTAGAGAAAGTTGGAAAGGTGAAATAATTTTATGTTCTTTTTCCCATCACTTTTTTCCTTGGGTCACAGGTTATTTTCTTCACTGTTTCAATTCCAAACTCAACTACAATTGGATACACTTTTTATTATCTTCTAGCTCTTAAATTAGGAGAGGAAGTGTTATATGTGGTGATGAAAACAAACCAGAAAAAAAAATTATATAAAAAGGCCAGCTTGGTCTGATGCTGAAAACTTCAACCAAAAATTTAACCTATGCCTTGCTTATTCCAATAAGAATTGGATTAAGTCCAGAAACAGGTAGTTTCAATCAATTGTTTTTAGGAGAGTCTATAACCTACTGGCTTGAAAATGCTCGAACTGTAAGTCTTGTAGAGATATAGCAGACTTGCCAAAATTGCATTACTGCTTCAAACCGTCACAAATTACCCTGCACTTTAAGTTTTATTGCCAAGTAAGACAGCACACAAATTCATTTCCGTGTCTGTTGCCAATTTAAATGAATGGCTGGCTCCTGCCAACTCAGGAAGACACCGGAGGAAATGTTGCACAGATCATTGGTGCATGGAATAAATGATAGCAGGCCTCTTGGTCATTTAATCTCAGAGCAAAATTTATATTTTAAGTAGGCTTTAAAAATATAATGTGAATTATGCCATAGGAGGCATATAATTCAAAAAGCAACCATGTTAAATGCCCACTATGTACTCAAAACCATTCTAGATGTTGTGGATGATACAGAATTTAAAAATATAAGCTCTGTTCTCAAAGAGCTTCCTCTACAATTGATCAAAGTAAACTAACACACAAGAAAATAGTTAGAATACTATATGAGCTGAATTGTGCCTCCTCAAAATTCATTGTTGAAGTCCTAACCCCCAATATTTCCAGATGTGACCGCATTTGGAGACAGGGCTTTACAGAGGTTATTAAGTTCAAATGAGTTTATTAAGGTTGGCCCTCATCCAATATGACTGATGTCCTTATAAGAAGAAGAGATTAGGACACAGACATACACAGAGTAAAGATCATGTGAAAATATGGGGGGGAAAACAATCATCTACAAGCCAAGAGGAGAGGCCTAAGAAGAAACCAAACCAACTCTGCCAACACCTTGATCTTAGACTTCCAGCCTCCAGAATTTTCAGAGAATGAATTTCTGTTATTTAAACCACCTAGTCAGTGGTGCTTTGTTGTAATGGCCTCAGCAAACTAACGCAGATACTATGTAATTGCAAACAAATAATATGAACAACAGCAAGAATTTAGGAATTAAGATTGCACATTCATTGGTTAGTGAAGATACTCATTTGACTAAAGGAGGTTTGAATGATGAAGAATAAGACTGTAGAGATGAAGCATGGCCAAAGCATGGAAGAACTTAAAAATTTAGCAGAAGCATTTAGATTTGAAGGCTAAGTAATGACGGGTTAAAGTTTATTACTGTTGCTGTTTTCCCCCATATCCCACTCCAAACAGTCTTATTAACAGGGAGGGGTCATATATTCATTTGTGACCTACCTAGACTAAGAAGTACTATTGTACTAGGTTGAGTTGAGTTAGAAATAAAACAAGTCTGGAAGCCAAAGAGCAACTAAGAAGAGAATAAGTGGGAAATGGCAAAGAATATGGAAAAGTGATGGCCTGAAGTCCCTTAGAATGGGGAGGGATAAGTCCAGAATGTGGGCTAAAATGCATAGTAGGAAAAAGGAAAGAAAGGCATTGATTTAAAAAACAAAAAAACAGAAAGAAAAAAGAAGAAAGAAAAAGAAAGGAAGGAAGGAGAAAGAAAGAAAAAAAAGAAAGAAAGAAAGAAAGGAAAGAAAGAAAAAGAAAGAGAGAAAGAAAGAAAGAAAAAAAAAGGAAAAGTTAGAGGATAAAGCCTGGAGGACTAGAAAGTTTGAAATGTAAGACAACAAAGCATGTAAGTTGATTAAAAACAAACAGATAAAAGTTGAGAAAGTGGAAGAGAAAAATCAAATAAACTTTAGGGAGAAGGCCAACGGATGAGGAATTAGCAAGAGAAGAAGAATAGCAGGAGCCCAAGGCAGATATATGATGAAGTGACAAGCAGAAGTGATGGAAGGTGAACTGGAAGAGAAAAAGAGAGAGAAATTGGGTAAAAACTGAAAAAAATTTACTAAGGGTATTTTAAGACATTGCAGGCAAATATAATAGGGAGGACAGGGGAGTGGAAAAGATAAAGAGAACTTCTAGGAAACGGGAAACATTCAACATTGCTTTTACTCTTTAGGCTTCCCCAGCATTGCCAATCTCAAATCTTAAGTAAACCATACTGCTAACAATAGATGCAGTGCCCAGACCCATGGGCTCCTCCCCCATCCCTGGCCATAGACTTCTTAGGGTTGCTAGAAAATCTTAAGGCTTGGCTAAGTGATGCCACTTCACATTCACACTCCATGACCTCAATTGCAACATGTTGCCACTCAGCAACTTTTTATTCATTTAGTTAACTATCATCATTTTCATTGCACAAATTCCTAAAATTTCTCTCCCCACAAACCCTCAAAACCACCCCTGCATATCCTCTTACATTCTATATATTATTGTGTTTCCTCCACTTCCCTCTCTCATAATTTTATGATTTCTCCACATGACCATCTCATCATCCCAATTTCTTCTCTTCCTCGCTCTTCTTTTGGAAGGAAGGAAGGAAGAGGGGGAGGAAACGAGACATGAAAGGAGTAAGAGAGAAAAGGAAGGAAGGGAGGGAGAGATGAGTGAAGAAGGAAGGAAGGAAGGAAGGAAGGAAGGAAGGAAGGGAGGGCGGGCAGGAGGAAGGAAGGGAAGGAGGAAGGAAGGAAGGAAGGAAGGAAGGGCGGGCAGGAGGAAGGAAGGGAAGGAGGAAGGGAAGGAGGAAGGAAGGAAGGAAGGAAGGAAGGAAGGAAGGAAGGAAGGAAGGGCGGGCAGGAGGAAGGAAGGGAAGGAGGAAGGAAGGAAGGAAGGGAGGGCGGGCAGGAGGAAGGAAGGGAAGGAGGAAGGAAGGAAGGAAGGAAGGGAGGGCGGGCAGGAGGAAGGAAGGGAAGGAGGAAGGGAGGGAGGAAGGAAGGAAGGAAAATTTTTTCCCAGTCTCTCTAATGTTACTCCTTCCACACATGCCCCTTGGACCCACCCACCTTCCCTGCAACACACATATATATCTTGTTGGGTCTAGTAGCATTGTCTCCTTCCGTGTTCTATGTTTCCCTTAACTTTCCTCCCCCACAAGCGTCTGTCTTACTTAAAGCCACTTTTCTTCAAAACTTTTTGCTCTTCACAATTTTGCTGTTTAGCCTCTGCCTCTGTAACAATATGAACACTTTTACCTGTCTGTCTTTAACAAAACCCCAAAGGACTACACCTCCTGAAATTCTCTCCCTCTAGTTTCTACATCGAGATTCCTAGTTGCAAGCATTAGAAGTTAATTCTGGTGAATAATACAGAAAAAAAATTGTTTTTAAAAATTGAGTAGTTGACAGAATCTTTGGAAGGGCTGAAGAACCAGGTTGAGGCCAAAGCTCCCGGAAATACTGCCCCAAACCAGCTCTTAAGAACAGCCTTAGGCAACTACCATTTCGTTCACACTTCGACCACATGCAACAGTCTGAATTCCTACCACTAATTCAACTCTACTGCAAGGACAGTACTGGTACCACTTCTGACAGAGACTAAGTTTTGCAGGCACCACTGTGTGCAAAACTCCAATGCTGTTGCTTTCTCCTTTGCCAGCAAAATGGATGCACATAAACCTCTTCCTCAGCATTGCTTACTTCAGAACTGAAATCTCATACAAGTGCAATTGATTAGTGAACCCAATAGCTTCTCAGTGAAAATCAGGTGAATAACAAAAAGTATGTACCAATTACAAGAATTATAAATTAGAATCATTATTATTAACTCCTGACACACAGAGCAACTTAGACTTTCTTTGCCTCCATTTGAATTACAGTCACACCCAGAGCCCAACATGTCTATGGCTCTATTACTGTTGTATACTTCCTGGATGAGCAGAGAAAATTCTATCAGCTACCAACTGGCACATATAGATTGGAATTTGTTTTTTAAACTTACGCCCAAGTCAGCTTCCTCCATGCTATGCCCATATGCTACCCCAGATGTTGTGCCTGTTTCATTTTAGAGGTTATTATGCTTGCCTTGTCTTTGCTTGCAGAACATCTATGCCTACACAATAATAATTCCTGCAGTCAGAAACATTTGAAAAGTTCTATAATAGTGAAGTGATAGTTTTTAAAATTTGCATAAGTCATATCCATTCATGGCTCATGTTTTCCTTAACATACATTCTATATTAGCATCAAACCAATGCAATAAAAACTCATTAATCCAAGCCCCTCTCATTTGAAACTCAGTCCCCACTAATGACTCCTTGTTTCTGCTTCTGTTTTTTTTCTCTCACCTAGAATGCCTTTTTCATTCAACTCAAATTTATGTCTATCAGCTCCTTCCAAACTGAATTCAAGATTACCTATTCCAAAAGCCTTCTTCGATTAAACCCACCTGATTCTGATCTCTCCAGGGTGCTGTACCCTATCAAGACTCATGAACTCTGTCTGTCCTTCACTTTTGCAGTTGTGAATGTGATGCTTTTATTGGTTTTATGTCATTTTCTATGTGTATGTTTTCTCCCCAGCTAGGGAATGAGCTCCTAGGGAGAAGGGGCCACATCTTCTGCTTCCTGTATTTCCCACCCCTAGAGCCTACCTCTGAACTACCCCTTGAAGAGGTGCCCTGGACATGCCTTCAGAGAGCAAAGATATACTCAGGGTAAAGGCAGAAAGTGCAAAATGCAATCCATTCTCTTGATAATGATTTCAAACCTTAATCTTACCAACAGTAGAAATATGCCACAGGGAACTAACAATATCTCCAATGTCATCTTTAAAGATGATGAGAAGCGATGAAGCCATATATGCAGCAGGCAACAACTAAATTATTTAAACAGAAAGAAACTATGTGTAGGGATTTCAGCAGTGAATCTCTGTTGTGATCGCTGACAGGAAACTTACTACACATCTTGATGAATTGTCATAACCCAAGTTGCTAAGAGAATAACATGTGGAATCTTTCATTCCACCAATACAAAGAAACAATGCCTCCACTTTGTGGGGCTGAAATTTTTAAAAAGCTACTTTTTTGTAAATTATCTGTTTGGCAATTTTTTATTATATATAATTTATAACTTTTTTCCAAAATAAACTCATAAAATGACATTTTTGTGAGACAACATGAAATTTAAACTCTGAGAAGATACTTGATTTTAAGAATTTTTTTGTCAATTTGAGGGACTGTCGTAATGGTATCATGGTTGTATTTTAGCAAAAGTTCTCATCTTTTAGTAACACACAACTGAAATTCTTACAGATGAAATAATGGCTGTGATTTACTTCATATAATTAAAAATTCCTATATATACATAAGTTTAATTATTAGAACACCCTGTAAATAGATGTTGTTTTGCTTAGTTTATAAATGAAGAAATAGGTTTAGAGAAGTTGTTTCTTGCCTGAGGTCACACAGCTAGTAATTGGCAAAGTAGGAATTCAGACTGAGAACTTATTGACATTAAATACTTCTTCTTCCTGTAGGAGACCATAGGGGAGGGTCTAGGGCTAGCAGAGAAACTCCATCTTCCTAACTCATGAATTCCATGGTTGCTCCAGACTTTGACATTTTTCAGCCAGAAGGAAGGAGGAAATAGAAGTCCACAGCAAACAATCCTCTCTAAGTGGCAAAGTTAAAGATGTACTGTTACTTCTACTCACACCCCATAATCTATAGTTTATTTGCATGGCTGTTCCTAGCTGCAAGGGAGGCTGGCAGAGGTAGTCTCTCTATCTGTGCAACCACGTGCCCAGCAAAAACACAGACAGTTCCATATTCAAGAGGAAAAAGTGGAGAACTGACACTGAATAGTACTCAATAAACCTCTGGCCAATCAAGTTTCCATGTTAACCCTTGTTCCTGCATACAGAACACACTCACCCCCTGACCCAAAGAGGTAACTCAAAACCCATTCTGACATTGCAGCCAGTTGAGAGCCCACATTCTGGGGGTGATATGCTGTCCTTCTCGTAATGTTTAGATGTACCTTGTCAATCTCTAGGGACCTATAAACCAAATGACAAGGTATCTGCTTCCCAACATCTAATAAGCAAATAAAGAGCAATGGAATAGAAAAACCATACTAATCACTCCCATATGGAAAAGGGAAGAATAGAGGATCAACCAATCATGGCAACTATCAAATCCTCCTTGATAGGAACCACAGATACTCTCTGCAACATCCATGACCTAAGTTCCTCGATTGTTCCTTTCCACAGTCCCTTGTTTTGTTCTCTTGAAGTAACTAATTGGTCATTGCCCAGGGTCCTTGGCTTTGTTCTCTAGGACAGGGGTTGCTAAACTTTATTTGTTTTTACAGGGCCATAAAAGAAATATTTTAGACTTCATGAGCTCCATATAGTATCTGCTGCATATCTTTCCTTTCTTATTATTTTCTTTTATCTTTTATAATTTTTTCAAACTGTAAAAACCATTCTTAGCTCCCAGGCCACAGAAAATAAGACCCAGATCTATTTATAATTTATTTTTATTTTTATTTTTATTTTTATTTTATCTAGTTTGAGGGCCACAGTTGGCCAACATCTGCTCTGAAGATTTTCTTTCTCCACTTTCACCATGGCCCTATACACACTGGGTGTTGGAGAATATGCTCTGCTTGAGAACTACACAATTTTTAGACTATTTCCTCTTCATACAGTTTAGGAAACCCATTAGTTGTGTTAGGTATTGAAACATCACAGAATTTCCAGGCCCATCATTGGTTACTTTGGCAATACAGTTTCCCCCAAAACATACTAGCTTTCTAATCTATTTGCTTTTCAGTCAGTTCTGTGCAAAAGTAAACACAGGCAGAGCTCTCTTCTGGGTTTTAAGCTTACACTCTCCTCTGTCAGTCACTGACTTCTGTGTTTATTCCATCGTTCTCTTCCTCAGTTTCATGGAAGCTGTCCCATAACCATCTGAAACAATAGGCTGGCCAGTACCTTTAACCTGATCTTTCCTGCTAGAAATCCCTAGGCAACAATCTGTTTGCTTGCTGTTTGGTGGACAAAAGAAGTTGGCTTGTTTAAAACTGCTGAGCTCCCACTCCTTTTAGATTGTAGGCCATAGGGAGAGAGAGCCTCTCTTAACAAATTTCTATTGCTTCCCATCTCCACCTGCAAAATGGCCAGCCCTTACTTGAACTGAGCCTTCTTATGCAGTAGTTTCTACAAAAACCAAAAAGCAGCCAAAACGCAACATACTACCTTTTCTAGTCACTTCTCCTAGAACCATCAGCTGCAGAGGCAGGTGATCTGCCTTCCAAAGTACCACGGGAGAGTTTTGCCTTTCAAAAAAAAAATAGTTCTATAATTAAAAGAGCAGTTAAAAAGGATTCCATTGATGTGCATCACAAAACACCTGAAGATCAGGTAACTTCCTGGTAGAAGACTTGGAGTTTCATAGAGTGAAGAGAAGAGAGGCTATGTGTAGGCTATGTGTTCTTGTGATTTGGTTCAGATAAAAGTGTTTCTCTGTCAGTGCTACAGAATTAATGGTTTGAATGTTTGTGTTTACCCCAAAATTTATGTTGAAACTTAATCCCCAATGCAAAAGTATAAGAAAAGAGGCCTTTAGGAGATAATTAGGCCATGAGGACTTTATTCTAATCAACGAAGTTAGTGCCTTATAAAAGGGCTGGAGGTAAATAGCTAGACCCTTTTATGCCCTTCTGTCCCTTCTACCATGTAAGGACACAGCATCCATCTTCTTCTCCAAAGGACACAGCAACAAGTCACCATCTTAAAAGCAGAGAGACACTGAACCTCTTGGCACTTTGATCCTGGACTTCCATCCCCCAGTTCCTCCAGAACTGTGAGAAATAAATTTCTATTATTTATAAATTGCTCAGTCTTAGGTATTTTGTTATTGCAACAGGGACAGACTGAAATAGATTGGAAGTCTGTTGTTTTTTGTTTTTTCACGCCTCTTGTTCAGGATCATTGGTGCAAACCCATTCCTACAACTCTAAGAACAGTACTTACCCATTTTTGCAAGACTTTTAGTTGTTCTTTAGGTGAGCTTCCTGAGTCATGGAAGATAACCTAAAGAGAGAAGCAGAGAAGGGGGCAAGGTTCAAGACCAAGGGAGAAACTGCAGACCACTTATCATGCCTGCTTTAGTTCCTTTATATACCGAATGTTTTGCCACAGCTTAGCAAGCACTTGTAGCCACACATTATGAATGTTATATGTCTGGCCTACTATTAACACTTGTTCCAGGAAAAAGTGGAAGGACCACAAGGTTTTTGTACAGGATATAATATCATGAGATCCATCCCTTAGCAAAATAAGTGTGGACCCTGGGAAGAGGATAAACAGAAATGGAGAAAGAAGAATTTTCAAAAAACACCTGAAATAAGATGAAGGCAGGAGGAACAGAAAAGAGAGAGATGGGGCCAGGCGCAGTGGCTCAAGCCTGTAATCCCAGCACTTTGGGAGGCCGAGGCGGGCGGATCACGAAATCAGGAGATCGAGACCATCCTGGCTAACACAGTGAAACCCCGACTCTACTAAAAATACAAAAAAATTAGCCGGGCGTGGTGGCGGGCACCTGTAGTCCCAGCTACTCGGGAGGCTGAGGCAGAAGAATGGCATGAACCCAGGAGGCAGAGCTTACAGTGAGCCAAGATCGCGCCACTGCACTCCAGCCTGGGCGACAGAGCAAGACTCTGTCTTAAAAAAAAAAAAAAAAGAAAAGAGAGAGATGGATATGAGATAACAAAAAACAGAACAAGCAGAGTTTGAAAGTCAAGTCAATTTTTTAGGCAAAGTGGACATACTTTGCCTGGGTAACAGAAAGGACAAGGTACCATTAAGAGAAACAATAAGGGCAAGGTACCAGATAGAAATTACTTTACGGAAAAGAAAAGGAGTTCTAGTTTGGAAACAGTAAGGTTAAATTGCTAGTGAGCAACCTAGAAACAGATGTTGAGCACACAGCTTTAAATAAAATTCTAAAATTCATGAAGTAAGCAAAGGTGAGCAATAGAGATTGAGAAGCCATATGAAAGGAGATGATGTCTGCTGTTATGAAAGTAAATAAGATTTCTGAAAGAAAGATAAGTGAAAGAAGATGGCCCTGAAAAACGCTTACATTTGGATAAAAAATTATTGTGGTATATGGATAGAATAGAATACCACTAGGTAGTAAAAAGGAATGAACTACTAACACACGGGATAACTTAGATGAATTGCAAAATAAGTATGCTGACTGGAAGAATCCAAAGAAAAAAAGAGTACATAGGTATGATTCCATTTATATAAAATTCTACAAAAGGCACACAAATCTGTAGTGACAGAAAGCAGATCTGTGCTTGGCCAGGGTGGGGGAAAATGGACCACAAAAGGCACAAGGGAAACTTTTGAGATGATGGACATGTTCCCTATCACTTCTTGACCTTTTGGCTAAGATCAAGTGTGAAAATGTTCTCTAGTGGGATTGTAGTGGTGGCTACCCAGGTATACACATTTGCCAAAACTCATAGAACTGTACAATTTAAACAGGAACACTTCGTTATATGTAATTTATACCTCAACAAAATTCACTTAAAAGAAATAAAAGCTTATATTTAGTGGTTACAAGGAGGAAAAAAAGGACAGAAAGGATTTCAAAAGGAAGTGTTCTGTTGAATTAAGTTTAGCCTAAAGCTGTTTCCTTACATATTTTAAGTTCAACCTAAAGATCTCTCCCTACATAATGAACCGTACCTAACTGGATGTGTAAACAGACTGTAACCTACTCTTGTGCCAATCATCGAGTTTCAACCACTCACAAGTGGCCATCTGTTCAAACTGTGTTCAAATAAGGCAAACACTGAGCTGTCACCTATATGGCAGTTTCTGTTCCTCAATTCCACTTTCTGTACATCACTTTTCTTTTTCTGTCCATAAATCTTCTTCCACCGTGATATGGTTTAGCTGTGTCCTCACCCAAATCTCATCTTGAATTGTAGCTCCCACAATTCCCATGTGTCATGGGAGGGACCCAGTGAGAGGCAAAGGAATCACAGTGGGGAGTCTTTCCCATGCTGTTCTAATGATAGTGAGTGAGTCTCACGAGATCTGATGGTTTTATAAAAGGGAGATCCCCTGCACAAGTTCTCTCTTGCCTGCCACCATATAAGACATGCCTTTCACCTTCTGCCATGATTGTGAGGCCTCCCCAGCCATGTGGAACTGTGAGTCCATTGAACCTCTTTTTCTTTATAAATTACCCAAGCTCAAGTATGTCTTTATCAGCAGCCTGAGAACAGACTAATATACCCCACATGGCTGCACTGGAGTGTCTCTGAGCCTACTCTGGCTCAGGAGGCTGCCAGATTCATGAATCTTTCTTTGCTCAATTAAACTCTGTTAAATTTAATTTGTCTAAGGTTGTTCTTTTATCAATTCAGAGAGGCAAGGGGTCAGGTTGGCTTTGATAGATGCCAAAGAAAAGATACAGCCGGGCATGGTGGCTCACACCTCTAATCCCAGCACTTTGGGAGGCTGAGGTGGGTGTATCACCTGAGGTCAGGAGTTTGAGACTAGCCTGGCAAACATGGTGAAACCCCATCTCTACAAAAAATACAAAAATTAGCTGGAAGTGGTGGTGCATGCCTGTAATCCCAGCTACTAGGGAGGCCGAGACAGGAGAATTGCTTGAACCTGGGAGGTGGAGGTTGCAGTGAGCCAAGACTGCACCACTGCTCTCCAGCCTAGGAAACAGAGTGAGACTCTGTCTCAAAAAAAAAAAAAAAAGTGTAAGCAGCTTCATTGAAGGTGATCCCACATAGGGAGGAGGAGATGAGAATCAAGAACCAGATGGGGCAATCAGAGGTCCACTTTTGACTGCCAGAAGATTTGTTTTAATAGAGAGGGTAGAGGAAGAATCTAGATTTCAAGGAGCTAAAAGTTAATTGGTGGTGAAGAAATAAAGGAAATGATGCAAGACTTCTCTCATAGTGAAGAGCAATGCAGATATGGAATCATAGCTTGAAGAGTAGAAGGATCAAGGGAAGATTTTCAGTGTGAGAGAAAGGTGTCCTATCTAGAAGACAAGGAGCGACAGCTTTGAAGAATGGAGAAATGGCAAATGTAGGTAAAGAAAATGAGTAACTTTTTCTTACAATGAGTAAGTTTGTGACAAAGCAAAGAGGAAATAACAACAAGAGGTCAAAGAGAACATTTGCCTATGCAAGAGGCAGACCATGAGTTAAGAAGGTAAGAAGGGGAAGTCACAATATAGACAGAGCTCTTCAGGTAAACAGGAGGAAAGTGAAGGAACTCATACCAAAGGGTTTGAAACATCTTGTCAGCATAAAAAGCAGGGTCCTCCATTAAAATTAAGAAAGTAATCTCAGTAAAAGCCTGAAAGAAGTGGAGAACTATGAGAATCTTTGCTAAGGGGATTTCCATCAAAAAGTGTTTCTCCAACTCCAATATGCATAAAAATCACCTTAGTTTTTTAATAAGGTGCAGATATCTATTCAGTACCAGACCTAACACTGCATTTCTTTAATCAAGTTCTCTGGGAATGCTGTTAACCATAATCTAGATGGAGGCCAGAGGAAACCTTCTAGCTATAAGCAAAAGGACTGTGGAGTAGCAGTAGGGTTTCAGGGTGGGAGTAGTCACATGAATATATAGTAATCTCCCCACTAAATGTTAAACTTCAAGAACGCAGAAATTCTTGCTACTATGTTCTAACATCGGGCACCATGTTTGGCACATAGAAGGATCTGAATAAATACGTACTGAATGAATGAAAGAATGAGTAGGTTCTCTCTCAGGGAAAGTGGGCAGTGGCAATTACCCAGAGTTGGAGAATCAAAGACAGAATTGACAGAAGAACAAGGAGGAAGGGAAAGATATAAGAGCAAATACAAAGGAAATGGCTGCCCATGGGATCCAGGTAGAGAGAAGAGGTAATTGCTGTCAATACAGGGGAATTAACTGAGAGATGTGGAAAGAGCTGCAAAATTGGAGATTCCAATAAGATAAAAGTCAGGTAAGAGGAAATTAAAGAGATAGATATTTGAAAGAATAAAATTTGCAATCCAAGAGAGCTATATTTCAGTGCATAAGAACTTGACAATAAAGAAGTTTCAAATGAGGGTTAAAGCCTGGCTGAAAGACAGCTTATCATGAACTGATGAGGCTGAGAAATTTTTTAATAAATTTTCTTAGATCACATGTCTAAAAGGACATGAAGGTTAAGCGTAGCAGCCAGCATCTTTAATAACTAAACTCTCAGCAACAAATAGTTCCCACCCAGTTTAATTAGAATGCAGAAATACAATTTTAAAAATCTTATGCTATCAGCATAAGCATTGACTTGACTTAACTTGGGTAACATGTTCCTAGGTTTTACCAAAAATAATATCTGCTTAGGTGATAAGAACTTATATAGATGAGATCTGGTAATATTTCATGTCATCTTGAGGCAAATTTATATGGCTCCATTAAAAACCTTCAAGGTTAAAAATCAGAATGCATAATGAAAATGCTAAAATGAAGAATGGCTATTGGCAAAAGTATTAGGACACTGTGTTCTGTGAGAAAGGCATATGTGGGACAAATATTCAAAGAATCTTGATTTTCAAAATAATTCTTGATGCTTCCCCAAAAATTATTTTGCATCCCAAACGGTACTATAAATTAGTGAACTTTCCAGCTAATGTTGAAGTTAGTGTTGAAATCCTGTTATAAATGTTATCAAAAGGATGCAAGGTGGAAATAGTCTCTGTAACAAAGTGCATGGAAAAGTGCCTTTGTGTATATGTGTGTGTGCACAGACCCACAGACAAGCATTGCAGATATGTACCTGGTCCTTATCCTTGCACACTAATGAAAAAAACAGAATCTCAAGCCTTTCTGGGGATGGGAAGGAGGAAGGAACAAAGGAGAAGAAAATGTCACTGTGTGCTGAAATTCTGGTATCTTCACCTCTGTTCCTTCATGTAATCCCTATATTTCATTCCCATCTAACTTGGTGAGAATTATTACTCTCATTTTGAATACACAGAAACTAAGGTTCAGATAAGTTAAATAACTTCCAAGGTCATACAGATACGAACCTACATAGCCAGTGTATCCCATCATTCCAAGGTTCTTTCTTCTCTGCCACACAACCTCCCAGTGTGATTTTAATTATTCTCACCCATTCCATAAATATACATTAACGTACTTAGACTCCAGGCACTGGAAACAAAGTGCCTTCATTTGAATAACACATGGTCCATGAATAACACATGGTTCACACCATGATCTTATATGCAAATAATGACAGCACAGTGCAGAGTGGGCAGGTAGAAAGTGGTGTGGGAGTCTGTGGGAAGACTGCCCAGCTACAGGCAGAGGGGTGATGAAAGCCTGAAGACAAATGTCAGATATTTAAGCTGACACATAAAGGATTAGTTCACCTTGTGGGCTACAGGGAAAAGGGACTGACAGCCAGAGGAAACAAACTGGGTTTGTGTTCTGGGAGAAGCATACAGTTGAGATCGTTCAGAAAACAAGGCTCAAAGATGATGACAATATCTAAGTACAAACTTATGGCCATTATTTACTATTCCTGAGCCTGAAGTGCCCCAGGTACATCTACGTCCCTGGGTATGCTGACCATGAGGTTGTTCCACTTCTGAAATCTTTTACACGCTGGTGCCTATCATCCCAATACTTTTATTTTCGGAATTCCTAACAAGAGTCAGCATTGTGAACTCTTCTGGCGCAAGGTTTCTTGGTGGATAGCAAATTGTGATATCTTGTCAGTCTCTGAGCCCAGTAACTCAGGAGAAATTGGCTATCTATCCCTCAATTTTTGGATTCCTGAAAAATTACAGGAAGCTCACAACTGTAATGATCTGTAAAACAAAGTTTAAATTTGGTAAAAGAATTTAAAACTCTTAGGTGTATTAAACTAAGAAATCGAATGCAAACTTTTAAGACATGGTACCTGATCTCCAGGGGTTTAGTTGCAGTTACATTACAAAAGTACCTATTATGCATTTTTTCTGAGAAGTGTATTTCTCTAAATTTTGTGTGAGATATAATAATATTGCCTTTTTAACAATGTTAAATAATAACATCTCTCTCTGTTGTCTTTACTAATAAGATTAATAAAATTTTGGCTGCTCTAACTTTTTATCTGACTAATGCTAGCCCTCTTAAATTATCAAGCCCAGAGAAGCATTGAAATGTGACAGCAATCATGTCTCATTCCCCTCTTGAGCTAAGTAATTATCTCTTGAAGCCACTTGCTATGTGCACTCTAGACTGGTGCCAAGCATCTATAAAACTAACCTAACAACACCATGCTCTGGACACCATAACTCATACCCTAGAGTTCAACAATGTACAGACAACTACTAATCAATACTTTCCCTACAAGCCAGTGAGAAAGCCTGTCAAATAATTTAATATCAGCCCACTCCTTTTTCCTTTTTGCCTTTAAAAACCTGCTTGTATTCCTTTGGGTATATACCCAGTGATGGGATTGCTAGATCTAATGGTATTTCTGTCTTAAGGTCTTTGAGGAATCACCACACTATCTTCAACAATGGTAGAACTAATTTACACTCCCACCAACAGTGTATAAGCATTCCTTTTCTTTTTTTCCACAACCTCGCCAGCATCTGTTATTTTTTGACTTTTTAATAATAGTCATTCTGACTGGTGTGAGATGGTATCTCATTGTGGTTTGGGTTTGGGTTTGCACTTCTCTAATAATCAGTGATGTTGAGATTTTTTCATACGCTTGTCAGCCACATGTATGTCTTCTTTTGAGAAGTATCTGTTCATGTCCTTTACCCATTTTTAATGGGATTTTTTTCTTGTAAATTTAAGTTCCTTATAGATGCTAGATATTAGACCTTTGTCAGATGGACAGTTTGCAAAAAATTTTCTCCCACTCTATAGGTTTTCTGTGTACTCTGTTGATAGTTTCTTTTGCTGTGCTGTGCTATGCAGAAGCTCTTTAGTTTAATTGGATCCCATTTGTCAACTTTTGGTTGCAATCGCTTTTGGCATCTTGTCATGAAATCTTTGTCCATGCCTATGTCCTGAATGACATTGCCTAGGCTGTCTTCCAGGGTTTTTATGGTTTTGAGTTTTTACATTTAAATCTTGAATCCATCTTAGACACATACATGCATATGTTCATTGCAGCACTATTTGCAATAGCAAAGACATGGAATCAACCTCAATGACAGACTGAATAAAGAAAGTGTGGTACAGACACACCATGGAATACTATGCAGCCGCACAAAAGAATGAGATTATGTCCTTTGCAGGGACATGGATGGAGCTGGAGGCCATTATCCTTAGCAAACTAACACAGGAAGACAAAACCAAATACCACATGTTCTCACATAAAATAAGTGGGGGCTAAATGATGAGAACACATGGACACATAGAGGGGAACATCACACACTGGGGCCTGTTAGAGGGTGGAGAGTGGGAGGAAGGAGAAGATAGGGAAAAATAACTAATGGATACTAGGCTTAAGACATGGGTGATGCAATAATCTGCACAACAACCCCCATGATACACTCTTACCTATGTAACAAACCTGCACATGTACCCATGAACTTAAAAGTTTGAAAAAAATTACAAATAAAAATAAAATAAAAACCTGCTTGTGAGAGAGGCCAAGTGGAGCACTTTCTAAGGCAACTTGGAAATGTGCCCTGGGCAGCTATCCTCACTTTGCCTTAAGTAAACTATTTAAAATTATATTTTGTGCCTCAGCTTCTCTATTTAGGTAAATATTTTGGACATCTTTTTGATATGTTCATTGATTACTGGATTTCCACTTTTTTGAAATTTCATTTCCTGCCCCTTACCAACTTCAAGTTTGAGGCACTAATGCATTTCTTATCAGTTTTTGTTACCTATTGGTACTTGAATTATATAAAGCCTTTATTATATCAGTTAGGAATATTTTGTGAAACAAGAGAAGGTAAAGTTGATATTTGCCTATCTAAGTCCAACTAATTCATTCCGTATCATTTGAAACATTGCATCTTTTTTCTCTACTTTTTTTGATTGAGGTATAACATGCATATAGTAAAGTACACAAACATTAAGTGAAATTTTAGATATGCATACATCATGTACCCATGACCCGGATCTAGACACAGAACATTTCCAACACCCAGAAGCTTCACTTGGCCCTCCTGTTCGTGCACGCCCTCTCCCAAGAAATTCACTCTTCTAACTTCAATCACCATTGTCTATTTTTACCATTATAAGCAATACTTTCATAACATCTCATTTCAAATGTTAACAAGTTAATAAAAACTTTCAGTAAAAGTAGCCTTTGCATCATTCTTTTTTTTTTTTTTTTTAAATGGAGTTTCACTCTTGTTGCCCAGGCTGGAATGCAATGGCACAATCACTGCGACCTCCGCCTCCCGGGTTCAAGCTTTTCTCCTGCCTCAGCCTCCCAAGTAGCTGGGATTACAGGCATGCACCACCACACCCAGCTAATTTTGTATTTTTAGTACAGACAGGGTTTCTCCATGTTGGTCAGGCTGGTCTTGAACTCCCGACCTCAGGTGATCCACCTGCCTCAGCCTTCCGAAGTGCTGGGATTACAGGCATGAGCCACCGCGCCTGGCCCGCCTTTGTATCATTCTAAAAAATTAATTGGAGTATGCATTTAATAGATACTATAATAAAATTTTTTTAAAAAAACTATAAAAGTACATTCTGCTAACAGGTAGAAATTATTGAATGACAAAGGTTTTTTTTCTGATATGCCAGGATAAATGCCTACAAATAGGAACTTCTAAAGCACTTACCTGTGAACAATACACAATACCAGAATCATATAACACGAATCTAATCTCAAGATCATTGCTGGTTTTCCCATGACTCTTTTTCTAACTAAATTGAGATTACCCTTATTCCTCCTATGAATAAGATGTGGTTTTTCTTGTTCAGACAGAAAATTTACAAAGCGAAAAATTAAACCAAAGCTAACAGTCGAGGAAGGTGTTTACAAACAAAATTATTATAACATATCCAAGTAAACAGTGATACATTACCCCCAGGAATCAAGAAACAGGTCAGAAATAAGATTTTCCTATCAATTACTACGAATCTTTCATATATAACTAAATCTCCATTTAGAAAAGTTGTGTTTGTTGCTTGTTTGTTTGTTTGTTTGTTTTTTACTGCTATGGGGCCAATTTTCTTTGATAATATGTTTAGGGAAGAAGAAGATGCACATGTTAAGAGCTAGCAGTAAGTCCCAACATTTCAGTTTGTAGTCTCAACATTTGAAAATAGGACTTTACGTTACTTGCTTCTTTTTTTCATTCTAGAATATGCTAGCAAGCAAGTGGCCCAGAACACCAAGTCCAATAGAGAGAGAGAGAGAGAGAGAGAGAATGCAAAAGCAAGTAAGAAGCCAATGCATTTAACCAGGTGCCAAACCTGGCAGTTAAATGAGGGTTCTGGGAGGCTGCACATTCACCTGAGCCTGAGAACAACAACAAAAAAAAATTGAAAATGTCAAATAAAAGGTAGCCAAACATGAAAATGACACCTGATCCCAAGGAGTTTAGTAGTAAAAAGCACCTATTCCCCTTGTATCTCACTGGGTATTTCTGAAAAGCAATTTTATCTAAATTTTTTAATGTGGGAAATATAAATAACATTGCCTTTTTTAATATTAACACATAGAAAATCTTTCCCCCAGAAGAGGTTTGATTGCAGGGTTAGCAATGGAAGGTTCCAGCTGTGAACCTGCTTCCTAGTCCAGACTAGGCTTGACCAAAGGCATTATATTTCTTCTTCCCAAGCTGGAGGCAGAGGCAGAGGCAGCTTAGGCCCCAGCCTGCAGAAGTCACCAATTCAGTGGCTGCAGGTAGAGCAGAGAGATGATTATTGGTGGGATACACAGTCTTAAAGCTCTCCTTAAATATATATATTTATATATAATGTATATGATCAAATTTTCATCAGATTTAACTGGGAGGTTGTCAAATAAGAGTAAACATAATTTCAAAAACAGTCTACAGATCTGAGTAACTTATAAAAGTCAAAGCCAGATAGAAAAACTAGGAAAACGAGACCCATATTGGGCAGGAGACATAAAATACTCAAAAAAGTTACTATATGAGAGCTAGTGGGTCTTTGCCTTTTTATTACCTTTGCAAATATTGTTTTTATATATTTTACAATATTAGCCAATCCATAGGAGCTTTATCATTACCAATGCCATACTCTAGATAGTCTAGACAGTTTAGAAAATATTCAGTGAAGGTCCACAAAGACAATGGCAGTCATGATCTTCCCTTCCCTCCTGTACCTGCCAATCCCTGCAAGAAGACACAATTTTTTCCAGCTCTAAGAGGCATCTAGATGTGGGAGGCTATAGGGTACATAGATGCAGAAAGAGAGGCATTTTTAATTCCCCTAGAACAGATTTAAGAATTGAAGCTAATATGGCCCATCATAGTGGCTCACGCCTGTAATCCCAGCACTTTGGGAGGCCAAGGCAGGTGGATTACCCGAGATCAGGAGTTCAAGACCAGCTTGGTCAACATGTACAACTAATATAAAATATTAGTTGGGTGTGGTGGTGTGCGCCTGTATTCCCAGTTACCTAGGAGGCTGAGGCATGAGAATTGCTTGAACCCAGGAGGCAGAGGTTGCAGTGAGCCAAGATCGCAACACTGCACTCCAGCCTGTGCAACAGAGCAAGACCAGTCTCAAAAAATAATAATAATAATAAAAGAATTGAAGCTAGCATAATCTAAGTTGTGAGAATCAATTTTTAGAACAAGAAGAATATATATAAAGTAATTTTACATGGGAAGTTTTATTGCTTTGTGGAATGAATGCATTCTATTAAATTTGGCTCAAATGAGCCTACAGAATAGGTGAGAAATGCATGGAATTTAGAGTCTCTATTATAGTGTCTCCACTTCAGGAGTAAATAAATAACCTCTCTAATCCTTAACTTCTTCATCTGTGGAGTGGAGATACATATTTATATCACAAAGGAATGTTATCAAAATAAAATGCAGCATTATACTTAATGGTGATGTGTAAATTGAAAAGCACTAAATGGCAGTTATTATTATTTGTAAAAAGCACGCCCTTTCTTTATGTTTTCCCTGTGGTGTCACAGACATCTGAGTCATTCACTTTTCTTTGGTAGCACTTGTCTGGTTTCTGGATCTCCACTTAAACATGGCCAACTTTTACTTCTCCACTCTCTCCATGGAGCTCAGGAATTTATTCTGTTCCTGGTTTTTTTTCCTGATTCCATACTAGCTGAGCAAATAACTTTGCTCCTGCTGCTTCTCCTCAGGTCTGAGATTTGTAATATCTACTAAAGCTGGGTTGCAGTTCACACATTTCCCTAAAACAGGCCTCTGTCTGAAATATTGTGTACTGACCAGAAATCTCCACTCCCAGCCTGCAAATTGTACCTTATTTTATCATCCTTTTACGTTCTCTCCTACTTTTGAATTCACTCCAACTGAAAACTAGTCATAGCTTACAAGAAAATTAATTTCTTTACTAGAATTTGAGAAAATTTATCCACAAAGAAACAGAGGCAAAGTCACAAAACCGTCATCATCATTATCATCATCATCCAAACCTTGCAAGACAGCAGTTATCAATCAGTTGGAAGCAAAAATCAGAAACTTAGCTGTTAGATGTGGGAAGTAATTTAGAGACCACCATCTCACCTTCTTCAAATGGAAGATAAAGCAATTGGCCCAAGATTGGGCAAGAGAGTACTGAGTGTCCTAAACCAGACATATTTTCACTCTGTGCTGTGACTCAAATGCAGCAAGCTCCCTATTTCATGAAGATTCTCCTACTGGCAAGCATCAAATGAGACTGGACCAAATATTTGAGTTTTTGTGAAGTCATCATGCCTATTTTTCACATGCAGTGGACAATAAATGGTGGGGATGCTACCTCTTTGTGCTATTTTGCAAGTCACAAAATATGTCATGTCATAATTTCATTTGAACTTCACAACGTCAACATGCAGACAAGAGCAGAGCAAATAGAATCTCTGCTTTCAAATGAGGTGTCTGGAACTACAAGATTTTCTCAGGGTTAAATATAAGACTCAGGCCTTGAACCCACATCAGACTTAAAAGTTTATGCTCATCTTCATTTCATTCCATAGAAAAGGGTTTTTTAATCACTATTCAATATTTTATAATAGAGTAGTGATTAACAGTACAAGTTTTAGAGGCAACAACCAACCAAAGTCTGAATGCAGCCTTTACTGCTTTATTAACTCTGTGGCCTCACACAGTTATGGAGCCATTGCTTTATGCCTTGGTTTACTTATCATACATGTAAATAATAAACTAGGACTCTCATCATGGATATGAGAATTAAATAACATAATATATGTAAAGACCTTAGCACAGTGCCTGGCGTAGACTAAATCATCAAGTACAGCTGTTATTCATTTTGTCTTCCTTATTTAAAAATACTGAGTGCAAGCTTTCCATTAAAAAAAAAATTAACCTAAATTCTTCTCTTTATATAGGTAAAGTATATGTAAACGTAGCCAGACTTCCCATATAGAATCCTTAACAAGATTATACTTTCAAAGATTAAAATTTCTACACCCTTGCTACTCAAAAGACAGACCAAAGACCAGCAGTGCCAGCATCACCTGGGAGCTTGTTAGAAATCCACATGGTGGCTCACGCCTGTTATCCCAGCAATTTGGGAGGCTGAGGTGGGTGGATCATGTGGTCAAAAGATCGAGACTGTCTTGGCCAACATGGTGAAACCTCATCTCTACTAAAATACAAAAAACTTAGCCGGGCATGGTGGCGTGTGCCTGTAATCCCAGCTACTTGGGAAGCTGAGGCAGGAGAATTGCTTGAACCCGGGAGGTGGAGGTTGCAGTGAGCTGAGATGGTGCCACTGCACTCCAGCCTGGCGGCGACAAAGCAAGCAAGACTCCATCAAATAGAAAGAGAGAAAGAGAGAAGAGAGGAGAGACAGAGAGAGAGAGAGAGAGAGAGAGAAGAAAAAAGAAAAGAAAAGAAAAAAGAAAACCACAATCTCAAGCCCCACCCCAGACCTGATGTGCAGAGCATATCTGCATTTTAACAACAATCCCAGGTGATTTGAATGCATATAAAATTTTGGGAAGCACTGTCTCTGGCACCATGCTAGGGAGCTGAGTGAAGGTGTAACACACAGGCACTAATATACATCAACTGCAAAGCAAAAGGTTTCTATTTCATTCAGTAACAGCTTATTTAAATCACTTGTTTCAAAAATAGCTAGGATACTTTTTATGGTGTTTGGTTTTATTAACTCCTCATCAATTTGTTATTCTTCTTCAACCCTACCATTGTATCCACACATTTATACATGCTTAATAAACTGACACAACTCTGGAAGCTTGTACTAGTATGAGCTAAAGAAATGGCATGTTGCAGAAACTTTCTTTCCACATCTTTTTTTCCTCCCTCCCAATCCAACTCAACCCAAAAGGGAAGCAGCTGCGGAAAGTAAATGGGGAGGCTTCTAAAATTAAATCAGGAAAAAACTTACATTTATTACTGAGGTTGAGAGGGAAGGTGACATTTTTAAATGTTACATTAGGTAAATTAATTGAAAACAGAAAAAGTAAAAAGCAATCCTCCTTGCTGACAGTAAACAACCACTATTTTTCAGTTGTTTGATTTTTGTATGTCCTTTTATAGCTCTCCCTAAGGTAGAAGATCGCTTTGTGAATGATGGAAACTTCATTATTTTTCTTTAATTCCATCAGTGCCAAGGCTATATGGCCCCATTGCCTAGCAGAGCTATAATGTTAGAACAGACTAGAACCATGTAAAGAGGAGCTAAATGAGTCCAATCAACAACTTCAGCCAAAAGAACTTCAATATTGAGGACTGTGGACTAAGCAACAAGCTTTCTAAAGCAAGGAAAGGTCATTTCTTAGCAACAATGAGAATGTTCTTATAAAAAAGGGATTTAAGGATTTACAGAAAAGAATCATTCCTGGATTTCACTCATGGGCTTTGGAAGCATAATTGTGTTTGATACCTGGCTCCTCTATTTTCTAGGTGTGTGACTGTGAGTAAACTCTTATAACTCTCTGAACTTCAGTCTCTTAAACCATGGAAATATGATACTAATACTTAACACACTAGATTTATGTGAAAATGGATTGAATTTGGATGTATGTAAAACACTGTATTCTGTGGTACCATTCAGCAGAAGCTTAACAACTACTAGCTCCCTTTACCCCATGACATCATGTCTAGGTATAAAGATTTGATTATCACTAAACATGTTGGAAGAAAAGGTTTTGATTATGGACACAGACTTCAGGGAATTGATAATATCTGATTTATGTTCTCTGTGGTTATAAGCTACAGGTGGAGTCCAGCACTCAATTTGCAGAACTTCCTCATTATAACAACCTTTTGGGTTGTATACCACTTGTCACATCACACTTGCTCAAATACTTGATAGTCGCGACTGACCAAATTACACAGATGTTGCCCTTTTTCCCTAGAAATTTTGCTGCAATAGTTAGGTACCTTAAAAACACACAGTCTTCAGCAAACTAACACAAGAACAGAAAACCAAACACCACATGTTCTCACTCATAAGTGGGAGTTGAACAGTGAGAACACATGGACACAGGGAGGGGAACATCACACACCGGGGCCTGTCGGGGGATGGGGAGCTAGGGGAGGGATAGCATTAGGAGAAATACCTAATGTAGATGACAGGTTGATGGATGCAGCAAACCACCATGACACGTGTATACCTACGTAACAAACCTGAGAGTTCTGCACATGTACCCCAGAACTTAAAGTATAATAAAAAAAAAATACACAGTCTTGTTGGGAGGTGATACAAAGCAGAAATTTCTGCTACTGGCCGGGTGTGGTGGCTCATGCCTGTAATCCCAGCACTTTGGGAGGCCAAGGCAGGCGGATCACGAGGTCAGGAGATCGAGACCATCCTGGCTAACATAGTGAAACCCCGTCTCTACTAAAAATACAAAAAATTATCCAGGAGTGGTGGCGGGCGCCTGTAGTCCCAGCTACTCAGGAGGCTGAGGCAGGAGAATGGCATGAACCCGGGAGGCGGAGCTGGCAGTGAGCCGAGATAGTGCCACTGCACTCCAGCCAGGGTGACAGAGTGAGACTCTGTCTCAAAAAAAGAAAAAAAAAAAGTCTGCTACTGCAATATAAAATAACACTTTCCCTCTATTCGTATGCCTGCAGTAACCACATCAGAGACCATATGCAGTTACATTATTGTAACTGGGGTATTTGTGTTCAATGTGTTTGAGCTGCTAAATTTCCCATGTGAGGTGACTAAAATGTGCATATTTTACTCTTTTACTCTTGACCAATAAGAGCCAAATTCCCACTGGGTAGTAGAAACAAGCATGTTTGTCTTTTTGTTTCAAACACCTACACACACACACACACACACACACACACACACACACACAGTCTTGGAAAAATTAGATATCAATATGCAAAAAAAAATGAATCTCATCCCACACTGCACATTTTATACAAAATATTAATTCAAAACATATCATAGATATAAGTATAAAATGTAAAACTATAAAACTTCAGAAGAAAACATGGAGAAAATTTTTGCAATGCTGAATTAGGCAAAGATTTCTTAGATCTGACCCCAAAAGCATGAAATAGAAAAGAAAGTAATAATAACTTGGACTTAATCAAAATTAAAAATATTTCACTCTACAAAAGACACTATTAAGAAAGAAAAACCTTGAACTAGCAGAAAATGTTTGCAAATTACATATCTGATAAAAGGCTTGTATTCAGAACATGTTAAACCCTTAAAACTCAAGCATAATAAATGAAAAAAGTAAGAACATCTTTTTGTACTAACAAAGATGCAACGTAACTGAACTCTGGTGACAATGGAAATGGTGCAGACACTTTGGAAAACAGTTTAGCTGTTTCTTAGAAAGTTAAACATACATTCATAGGAATTTCCTAAGAGGAAAAACAACAACTATTCACCCACAGTGAAATTCCATTTTTGCAACATTCTAAAAAAGGCAAAACTCAGGGATGAAAAACAAATCAGTGGCTGCCAGAGTTTGTGGGAGAGGAGAAGAACTGCACACAAGTGTGTGGCACAGAGGAGTTCTGGATGATGATGAAACTATTCTTTATTTTGCTTGTAGTGGTAAACAGATGATTTCATGCATTTGCTGAAAGTAATAGAACTTTGTGCAACACAAAGAATAAATTTCACCATATGTAATTTTAAAATTAATCTTTAAAAAACATAAGCACAATAACAATAAAAATTATTATCTTTACAAATGATATAACTGCATACATACTAATAAAATACCCAAGAGAATCTCCAGAAAGAGTATTAAAAATAGAGTTTAACAAGTTAGATAAATCAATCCATATATAAAAATCAACTGTACTTCCCTACACCAAGAGGTGTTACTGCTAGAAAACATAAATTAAAAAGTAGACCAGTAGAGAGAAAATTGGTTTATAAAAAGGCATTCAATATGGAAAAATAAATATAAATAAATGGAGAAACCTACCAAGTTTGTGACAAGTGTGATGGTCAGTTTTATGTGCCAAATTGTGTCAGTTATTTCATCAAATATTATTCTAGGTGTTGCTGTTACCAGTGGAGGGTGTCCAGGTGAGAGGTGACAGCATGCTGGCAGCCCTCAGCCCTCGCTCGCTCTCCGTGCCTCCTCGGCCTTGGCGCCCACTCTGGCCGCGCTTGAGGAGCCCTTCAGCCCGCCGCTGCACTGTGGGAGCCGCTTCCTGGGCTGGCCCAGGCCGGAGCCGGCTCCCTCAGCTTGCCGGGAGGTGTGGAGGGAGAGGTGCGGGCCAGAACCGGGGCTGCACGGGCCGCTTGCAGGCCAGCGTGAGTTCCGGGTGGGCGTGGGCTCTGCCACCCCGCACTCGCAGCGGCCAGTCGGCCCCGCCACCCAGGCAGTGAGGGGCTTAGCGCCTAGGCCAGCAGCTGCTGTGCTCCACTTCCCGCCCGGCCTTAGCTGCCTCCCCGCAGGGCAGAGCTCCGGACCTGCAGCCGCCATGCCTGAGCCTCCCCCCTGCCGTGGGCTCCTGCGCGGGCCCAGCCTCCCCGACGAGCGCCACCCCCTGCTCCACAGCGCCCAGTCCCATCACCACCCAAGGGCAGAGGAGTGCCGGCCCACAGCGCAGGACTGGCAGGCAGCTCCACGGGCGGCCCACTGCAGGATCCACTGGGTGAAGCCAGCTGGGCTCCTCAGTCTGGTGGGGACTTGGAGAACCTTTATGTCTAGCTAAGGGATTGTAAATACACCAATCAGCACTCTGTATCTAGCTCAAGGTTTGTAAACACACCAATCAGCACCCTGTGTCCAGCAAACACACCAATCAGCACCCTGTGTCTAGCGAACACACCAATCAGCACCCTGTGTCTAGCTCAGGGTTTGTGAATGCACCAATCGACACTCTGTATCTAGCTACTCTGGTGGGGACTTGGAAAACCTTTGTGTCCACACTCTGTATCTAGCTAATCTAGTGGGGAGGTGGAGAACTTTTGTGTCTAGCTCAGGGATTGTAAATGCGCCAATCAGCACCCTGTCAAAAACGGACCAATCAGCTCTCTGTAAAATGGGCCAATCGGCTCTCTGTAAAATGGACCAATCAGCAGGTTGTGGGTGGGGCCAGATAAGAAAATAAAAGCAGGCTGCCCTACCCAGCCAGCTATGGCAACCAGCTGGGGTCCCCTTCCATACTGTGGAAGTTTTGCTGTTTCGCTCTTTGCAGTAAATCTTGCTACTGCACGCTCTTTGGGTCCACACTGCCTTTATGAGCTGTAACACTCACCACAAAGGTATGCAGCTTCACTCCTGAAGCCAGCGAGACCACTAAACCCACCGGGAGGAATGAACAACTCCAGACGCGCCGCCTTAAGAGCTGTGATACTCACCAGGAAGGTCTGCAGCTTCACTCATGAGCCAGCGAGACCACGAACCCACCAAAAGGAAGAAACTCCGAACACATCTCAACATCAGAAGGAACAAACTCCGGACACGCCACCTTTAAGAACTGTAACACTCACCGTGAGGGTTCGCAGCTTCATTCTTGAAGTCAGGGAGACGAAGAACCCACCAATTCTGGACACACGTGTTGCTGGTGTTTTGAACAAAGAATTGGACAAAACACACAAAGCAAGGAAAGAATGAAGGAATGAAGCAACAAAAGCAGAGATTTATTGAAAACGAAAGTGTAGTTCACAGGGTGGGAGTAGCTGGAGCAGTGGCTAAGGGGCCCCCTTACAGAATTTTTTGGGTCCAAATACCCCTTAGAGGTTTCCCGTTGACCACTTGGTTTTCATCCCATATCAATGAAGTGGTGGCCCACGATCAGTTTGGTTGCAGAAAGCAACCAATTAGAGGGTGAAGTTATAAATTTACACTCCTATGCAAATGTCTCATTGGTTGTACCAATCAGATGTACTTTCAATTTCCCATCAGAAAAGGTGGGAGTTTGCAAAGGGAGTAGTGGCCTCTGGTCCTTTTGTTACTTACGTGTAGAAAGTTAGGGTTTGCCTTTCAATTTAGTTCTCGGAAGTAAGTGTGAAATGGCCTTAGGTTCCCTGTCTCCAGACCCTATTCTCCTGCCTCATTGCTATAAAGGTATTTTTGTAAAGTCTAAATTCAGTTGACTTTAAATAAGGGAGATTATCCTACATAACCTTGGTGGGCATGATTCAATCAGTTATAAGGCCTTAACAGCAAAGCTGAAACTTCCTTGAAGTAGAAATTCCATATACGGACAATAGTTTCAGCATGTCCCAGAAGTTCCAGCCTGTTCTTCCTGACAGCATGTCCTAGATAGCCCCACAGTCATGTAAGCCAATTCCTTGCCATAAATCTCTTGACAGATATCTCCTGCTGGCTCTGTTTGTTTTGTTGTTGTTTTTTTTTTTTCTCTGATTGAATGCTGGCTGCTACAAAGAAGGCTGAAGTTTACAAAGCATTAATTTTCTTCAAAATTATTTTTGGAATGAGTACATTTTAATTAAATCCCAACTTTTTTCAAGTTACTTGAAAAACTCATACTAAAAATTTTGTAGAATAACAGAAGCTCAAGAATTGCCAAGATGTTCCTGAGGAATATGCACAAAATGGGAGTTTTGCCCTAGTGGATATCAACACTTATTACAAAGGACAATTACAACAATGTGTTATTAAAGTAGGGAATTTCGAAAGAAACTTTGACCCAATGCAACAGAATAGACAGCCCAGAAACAGGCTCCTAGATGTAAGAAAATGTAGTTTATGGCAGAAGTGGCATTGCAGAGTGCTGTGAAAAAGAATTAGCTACTGCACAAAACAGACTCTCTCAGACTGAGAGACAAAATACTGAGTGAAAATGTCAAGCATTATACAAATGTGTATAGGATTATATGATTTTTATAAAACCCAAAACAAGAAAGCAAAATATCTTGTTTAGAGACATACTCTTTTGTTGCAAAACTTTAAAAAAAAAAGGGAATAAATGAAATACACACAACTCAGGATAGTGGTCAAAGGCAGCAAAAAGATACATTCAGCAGTACTGATAATGCCCTTGTTCAAAACTTGGATGGTGATGGGGGAAATATCCAAAATGTTTAACCAATGGTGGGACATAATCCCAAAGTAATTAGAACAGAAAGAGCCAGAAATGACCTCAACAGCCACTAAGGTGAACACCTACTCACCGTCAGCCCAGGTAGGCATGTTCCCAGCTGCAGTCTATTATGCTTCATAATATACAAAAGTTTTACACATTTCAGTAGATCTTAAATAATATATAATAAAAATTATACATAGACAAATGAATTAGTCAATTCACAGAGGACAACTTTAAAAATCATTTAAATGCAACATTATTGTGGATTCAGAATGCATGAAGAAATTCAGGAAAACAGTTCTTTATCCACTGCCAGAAAAACTTTGTTAGCATTGTTTTGCAAGGCCCCATGAAAATAAAATACAATTTTTTCTCTCTAAAATGAACAATACAGAAATAATCTCTGTGTGATTTCATAGAGTATACTAAAATTTCAAACTTTGTTGTCTTTGAAACTCCATGACTCTGTGATTGACAATGTGAACAGAGAAGAAAAAAATATGCAAATTTAATATATTATTTCCAAAAATGGTGGCAAAGAATAAAATATACTAAACAGGTATTTCCACAGGATCTGTCAAAATTTCAAATGAAAATGACCTCCTGCAAGCAATGGTCCTATGATTTCCCTAGTCTTCATGACCTATACCCAAAGGAACAAAACTAAGGGTAGTCCTGTCAGATTATAATCATGCCTCCCTTTTCATTAAAGTATTCCTAGCACTTGAACAGTGATTTATTTATAGTAGATCTTCAATAAATATTTTTAAATTAATAAACAATGTCTCCATAACAGCTCTTCATAAATAAAAATACTATGTTTAATCAGGGCAGCCACAAGATCAACAAAGAGGTGCTATGAGGATAAATCTCTATGTTAGTTTCCCTGTGGCTCCTCAGTGCCTCTCCTAGAGAGGTCAGACAACATGCTCATATTTAGTTCTGTTACAGAAAAGATCAAAGGTCAAGGCTAAATGGGGAGACAGAAAACGTGTGCTGAATGTACACCACAAGCACAATCACTGTGGCTATTGTTCATGGGGTCACCAAAGAGCCAGAACCTACAGACTTGCCTCTCATCTCTAGGCCTTCCAGAGAGTCATGATTTCACAACTTTACTAAAAATTGGTTCCATCTTTGAACTCCAAAATGCATTTTACTAAACTCATTAATGTCTAACATAGAGAAGTTCAAATTCTCATAAAACATACTCTCCTTCCCTAACTGCACCCACACACCATAGTTGGATGTGATGCACATACACAAAAGAAGTTCAAATATATAGTATATAATGATATCTTACAGAAAAAATGGAAAGTTCAAATATACCAATGTCCATAAAAGAAAATTTAAAACCATCCTTAAGGACGCTAACGATGACCCTGACAATGAAGAAGGCAACGAGCACATAGGCAGTACAATATTCATAGGGAAACCTCATAGCTTCAAATGGTAAAAGTAAGGCAAAAAAAAAAAAACCAGGAAGCAAAGTGGTTGAGAAAAACAAGAGGAAGAAAACATAGGCATTGCAAAGAAGCATTATTAGAGTGTGGAAAAAAATGACAGAAAAAAAGGTTCTGAAACTAATTCAGATACTTGTAATATCAATGAAATAAATATCTATAACATCTTAAAGTTCAAAATGTTTTATGTGTATTATTTTATCTTTATAGATATTTATATTATGTTGTTCTGCTCTTACTTTACAGATAGGAAACTTGGGGTTTGAAATTCAGCCAAGATCTTCCAGAAAACTAAACAATCAGGAGAAAAATTCAATATTCAGCTTGATATTTCTTCTACTGTACACCATCCTGACTCTTTTTAAAGAAGCCCAAAAATTGAATAAAAATGATACTAAATCAATCAAGTCAAAAATAATTCAGTCATTTAATGAATAATTTGTAGATGGCTCCATCTCATCTATTCAAGGATTTTGCTTTTTACTGAATCAAATGGTGATGACTATTGCACCTTTAAAGAATACAGAGCAATCAAGTGATTTAGCCAACTGGAGTGAATTAAATTTTAAAAATGATGACTTTCCAAGTGGTTCAGTGGTAAAAAATTTCAAACTACTTAATCTAATTCAAAATAAAACAATATCTTGTGGGTGCTTTATAAATATGACTGCTCTTATAGTTTTAAGATATTTTTAGAATTATTCCTGAAACCATTCACTTTGTGACCCTCCTTTCCTAATGTTTACCTTCTGTTTTCAATTCTTTTAATGCAAAATACTTATTAATGCCCCAGGTGGCCTATATTAATTAAGGATATGATGTGTCTTGGGAAAAGAACAGTTCTCTCCTATATATGTATATATATATATATATATATATATATATATATATATATATATGAATGAGATTATTATATATAGGAGAGATTATTATGTATAATTATGCATTATATACAATTATATAATCATATATTTAATTAATATAATTATATATAAAATTATGGCCTCAGCAGGTGTTAGCAGAAAGAACACCATATATATATATATGATCATATATATATAATTATGGTTGTCTGTTAGTCACCTTAAATAAAAGAAGGCTGTTTTATTCTTTCTTTTTCTTTTTAATTCAACCAAGAAAGAAAATTCTATAAATATAGAAGGAATAAGGAAGGTTGTTCAGGTCACATAATGGATGGACAGGCTCAAGAGGGAATGAGTCTTAGAATAATGTTTGGCATTAGTAACATAAATAAAAATTGAACCCACTCAAAAACCTTAAAAGGTAGTCCATTATATCTCTTAGCCTTAATTTGAGTTGTAAAAAATAACATTACAATTTATAAGTGTACACATTGATAAGTGAAATTGAATTTTGCATTGTCTCTCAGGTTTTCCACATTAGCATGAGAACATATATTTCAGTTGCTAGGTGCCCATGGGGCCACTGTACCAAAGGAGGTCACTGTCTCCTGTGCATAAATTCATCCCTGTGCATTTATGAATGATTTGGAGCTTCCCCTTTTTCAGTGTGGGGTGGGGGAGCTTATTAATCATTTTCCAAACCACTAATGGACAGACAAGCACATTGCCAGCTGCTAGAAAATGGTAGCAGCAGCAGAATGTAAAGCACCTTTGACATGAATATGGAAGCCAGCCAGGGCTAGGAGCCACGGAAGAAAGAACATATCTTCAGTGACTTTGTCAATCAGTGGGATTAAAAGGTCAACATATGTCAATAAAGAAAATGTAAAAATAATTTTTCTTTGCTCTGATGATAGCCTTCAGACCGCTTAAGAATATCACTAACGACAGCTCCAGTCTCCAGCAATGGAACAAAGCTGGATGGAGAATGATTTTGACGAGCTGAGAGAGGAAGGCTTCAGACAATCAAATTACTCTGAGCTACGGGAGGACATTCAAACCAAAGGCAAAGAAGTTGAAAACTTTGAAAAAAATTTAGAAGAATGTATAACTAGAATAACCAATACAGAGAAGTGCTTAAAGGAGCTGATGGAGCTGAAAACCAAGGCTCGAGAACTACGTGAAGAATGCAGAAGCCTCAGGAGCCGATGCGATCAACTGGAAGAAAGGGTATCAGCAATGGAAGATGAAATGAATGGAATGAAATTAAGTGAGAAGGGAAGGTTAGAGAAAAAAGAATAAAAAGAAATGAGCAAAGCCTCCAAGAAATATGGGACTATGTGAAAAGACCTAATCTACGTCTGATTGGTGTACCTGAAAGTGATGCGGAGAATGGAACCAAGTTGGAAAACACTCTGCAGGATATTATCCAGGAGAACTTCCCCAATCTAGCAAGGCAGGCCAACGTTCAGATTCAGGAAATACAGAGAACGCCACAAAGATACTCCTCGAGAAGAGCAACTCCAAGACACATAATTGTCAGATTCACCAAAGTTGAAATGAAGGAAAAAATGTTAAGGGCAGCCAGAGAGAAAGGTCGGGTTACCCTCAAAGGGAAGCCCATCAGACTAACAGCGGATCTCTCGGCAGAAACCCTACAAGCCAGAAGAGAGTGGGGGCCAATATTCAACATTCTTAAAGAAAAGAATTTTCAACGCAGAATTTCATATCCAGCCAAACTAAGCTTCATAAGTGAAGGAGAAATAAAATACTTTACAGACAAGCAAATGCTGAGAGATTTTTGTCACCACCAGGCCTGCCCTAAAAGAGCTCCTGAAGGAAGTGCTAAACATGGAAAGGAACAACCGGTACCAGCCGCTGCAAAATCATGCCAAAATGTAAAGACCATCGAGACTAGGAAGAAACTGCATCAACTAACGAGCAAAATCACCAGCTAACATCATAATGACAGGATCAAATTCACACATAACAATATTAACTTTAAGTGTAAATGGACTAAATGCTCCAATTAAAAGACACAGACTGGCAAGTTGGATAAAGAGTCAAGACCCATCAGTGTGCTGTATTCAGGAAACCCATCTCACGTGCAGAGACACACATAGGCTCAAAATAAAAGGATGGAGGAAGATCTACCAAGCAAATGGAAAACAAAAAAAGGCAGGGGTTGCAATCCTAGTCTCTGATAAAACAGACTTTAAACCAACAAAGATCAAAAGAGACAAAGAAGGCCATTACATAATGGTAAAGGGATCAATTCAACAAGAGGAGCTAACTATCCTAAATATATATGCACCCAATACAGGAGCACCCAGATTCATAAAGCAAGTCCTGAGTGACCTACAAAGAGACTTAGACTCCCACACATTAATAATGGGAGACTTTAACACCCCACTGTCAACATTAGACAGATCAACGAGACAGAAAGTCAACAAGGATACCCAGGAATTGAACTCAGCTCTGCACCAAGTGGACCTAATAGACATCTACAGAACTCTCCACCCCAAATCAACAGAATATACATTGTTTTCAGCACCACACCACACCTATTCCAAAATTGACCACATACTTGGAAGTAAAGCTCTCCTCAGCAAATGTAAAAGAACAGAAATTATTACAAACTATCTCTCAGACCACAGTGCAATCAAACTAGAACTCAGGATTAAGAATCTCACTCAAAGCCGCTCAACTACATGGAAACTGAACAACCTGCTCCTGAATGACTACTGGGTACATAACGAAATGAAGGCAGAAATAAAGATGTTCTTTGAAACCAACGAGAACAAAGACACAACATACCAGAATCTCTGGGACGCATTCAAAGCAGTGTGTAGAGGGAAATTTATAGCACTAAATGCCCACAAGAGAAAGCAGGAAAGATCCAAAATTGACACCCTAACATCACAATTAAAAGAACTAGAAAAGCAAGAGCAAACACATTCAAAAGCTAGCAGAAGGCAAGAAATAACTAAAATCAGAGCAGAACTGAAGGAAATAGAGACACAAAAAACCCTTCAAAAAATCAATGAATCCAGGAGCTGGTTTTTTGAAAGGATCAACAAAATTGATAGAACACTAGCAAGACTAATAAAGAAAAAAAGAGAGAAGAATCAAATAGACACAATAAAAAATGATAAAGGGGATATCACCACCAATCCCACAGAAATACAAACTACCATCAGAGAATACTACAAACACCTCTACGCAAATAAACTAGAAAATCTAGAAGAAATGGATACATTCCTCGACACATACACTCTCCCAAGACTAAACCAGGAAGAAGTTGAATCTCTGAATAGACCAATAACAGGAGCTGAAATTGGGGCAATAATCAATAGTTTACCAACCAAAAAGAGTCCAGGACCAGATGGATTCACAGCCGAATTCTACCAGAGGTACAAGGAGGAACTGGTACCATTCCTTCTGAAACTATTCCAATCAATAGAAAAAGAGGGAATCCTCCCTAACTCATTTTATGAGGCCAGCATCATTCTGATACCAAAGCCGGGCAGAGACACAACCAAAAAAGAGAATTTTAGACCAATATCCTTGATGAACATTGATGCAAAAATCCTCAATAAAATACTGGCAAACCGAATCCAGCAGCACATCAAAAAGCTTATCCACCATGATCAAGTGGGCTTCATCCCTGGGATGCAAGGCTGGTTCAATATACGCAAATCAATAAATGTAATCCAGCATATAAACAGAGCCAAAGACAAAAACCACATGATTATCTCAATAGATGCAGAAAAAGCCTTTGACAAAATTCAACAACCCTTCATGCTAAAAACTCTCAATAAATTAGGTATTGATGGGACGTATTTCAAAATAATAAGAGCTGTCTATGACAGACCCACAGACAATATCATACTGAATGGGCAAAAACTGGAAGCATTCCCTTTGAAAACTGGCACAAGACAGGGATGCCCTCTCTCACCGCTCCTATTCAACATAGTGTTGGAAGTTCTGGCCAGGGCAATCAGGCAGGAGAAGGAAATAAAGGCTATTCAATTAGGAAAAGAGGAAGTCAAATTGTCCCTGTTTGCAGACGACATGATTGTTTATCTAGAAAACCCCATCGTCTCAGCCCAAAATCTCCTTAAGCTGATAAGCAACTTCAGCAAAGTCTCAGGATACAAAATCAATGTACAAAAATCACAAGCATTCTTATACACCAACAACAGACAAACAGAGAGCCAAATCATGAGTGAACTCCCATTCACAATTGCTTCAAAGAGAATAAAATACCTAGGAATCCAACTTACAAGGGATGTGAAGGACCTCTTCAAGGAGAACTACAAACCACTGCTCAAGGAAATAAAAGAGGATACAAACAAATGGAAGAACATTCCATGCTCATGGGTAGGAAGAATCAATATCGTGAAAATGGCCATACTGCCCAAGGTAATTTACAGATTCAATGCCATCCCCATCAAGCTACCAATGACTTTCTTCACAGAATTGGAAAAAACTACTTTAAAGTTCATATGGAACCAAAAAAGAGCCCGCATCGCCAAGTCAATCCTAAGCCAAAAGAACAAAGCTGGAGGCATCACACTACCTGACTTCAAACTATACTACAAGGCTACAGTAACCAAAACAGCATGGTACTGGTACCAAAACAGAGATATAGATCAATGGAACAGAACAGAGCCCTCAGAAATAACGCCGCATACCTACAACTATCTGATCTTTGACAAACCTGAGAAAAACAAGCAATGGGGAAAGGATTCCCTATTTAATAAATGGTGCTGGGAAAACTGGCTAGCCATATGGAGAAAGCTGAAACTGGATCCCTTCCTTACACCTTATACAAAAATCAATTCAAGATGGATTAAAGATTTAAACATTAGACTTAAAGCCATAAAAACCCTAGAAGAAAACCTAGGCATTACCATTCAGGACATAGGCGTGGGCAAGGACTTCATGTCCAAAACACCAAAAGCAATGGCAACCAAAGCCAAAATTGACAAATGGGATCTAATTAAACTAAAGAGCTTCTGCACAGCAAAAGAAACTACCATCAGAGTGAACAGGCAATCTACAACATGGGAGAAAATTTTCGCAACCTACTCATCTGACAAAGGGCTAATATCCAGAATCTACAATGAACTCAAACAAATTTACAAGAAAAAAACAAACAACCCCATCAAAAAGTGGGCGAGGGACATGAACAGACACTTCTCAAAAGAAGACATCTATGCAGCCAAAAAACACATGAAAAAATGCTCATCATCACTGGCCATCAGAGAAATGCAAATCAAAACCACTATGAGATATCATCTCACACCAGTTAGAATGGCAATCATTAAAAAGTCAGGAAACAACAGGTGCTGGAGAGGATGTGGAGAAATAGGAACACTTTTACACTGTTGTTGGGACTGTAAACTAGTTCAACCATTGTGGAAGTCAGTGTGGCGATTCCTCAGGGATCTAGAACTAGAAATACCATTTGACCCAGCCATCCCATTACTGGGTATATACCCAAAGGACTATAAATCATGCTGCTATAAAGACACATGCACACGTATGTTTATTGCGGCACTATTCACAATAGCAAAGACTTGGAACCAACCCAAATGTCCAACAATGATAGACTGGATTAAGAAAATGTGGCACATATACACCATGGAATACTATGCAGCCATAAAAAAGGATGAGTTCGTGTCCTTTGTAGGGACATGGATGAAATTGGAAACCATCATTCTCAGTAAACTATCACAAGAACAAAAAACCAAACACTGCATATTCTCACTCATAGGTGGGAATTGAACAATGAGATCACATGGACACAGGAAGGGGAATATCACACTCTGGGGACTGTGGTGGGGAGGGGGGAGGGGGGAGGGATGGCATTGGGAGATATACCTAATGCTAGATGACGAGTTAGTGGGTGCAGCGCACCAGCATGGCACATGTATACATATGTAACTAACCTGCACTATGTGCACATGTACCCTAAAACTTAAAGTATAATTAAAAATATATATATAATAATAATAGTAATAATAATAATAAATAAATAAATAAATATGTAAAAAAATAAATAAATAAATGCCAAAGTGTAATGAAATTAAAAAAAAAAAAAAAGAATATCACTAACGACACAAGGAACTTTTCACCCCCGAGTAATCTCAATGGATTTAATGCATAAACACCTATGATCAGCAATTGCTTGTAAATTTCATCAGACTTGTTTTCCAAGGATGGTAACCAGTAAATTTCAAAAAATTGGTTCAAAAGTACGAAAGAAGGCTTTAAAAACAGGATCAAAATTGTCATTTCATTTTATTTCATACAAAAAACTCAGGCGATGTTAGCAAAAATAACACCAGCCTAGAATCAAGGGATCTGACTTTTATCCCCATCCTAGGATTGACAAGATGGGTAACCTTCATCATTAACTTCATCTCTTTAAATCTCACACGTGAAATGAGAAGTTGACATATATTTAAGGTCATTTCTAATCTTAAAATATTGAGACCAGAATTTTCTTCATTTTAACTTCAGCATTGCCAAACATATATATTTATCTACCACACAATGTGGCAATCCCAACAAAAATAAATATGAAACTTTCAGAATTCAGGACTGTATTTCTATCAGTTTGAAACCAAAATAAACATTTTGCACTCTTCGCCAACCGTCTCCGCTCCTTTGTCTGTATACATATTCCTCGCACCTTGCATCTCTCGCCAAAATGTTTTCATCTCAACTCTCCTCCCAAGTCTTGCTTATTTTGCAAACCCAAATAAACCATAGTTTCTAAGAAGCCCTCTCCAGCAAATCATACTAATACCCCTTTTCTTGTCAAATTCTATGTCTCTTATAATCAATAGCCACATCACTTTATTTTATCGTTAATTTTTTAATGCCTGGTATGTCTTCCATGAGTAGGTTGCAAACTTCTTCTGCAACAAAGACCGCTAAGACTTTTCTGAACCCCATGTAATACCTGGCAAAGTGCCCATGTATTAGCCTTCCATAAACGTACTATTAACTAATGAGTAGTTCAGCTTATGGATGTCAGAAACAATTACCATATATTTACCTCATAAAAACTCTACATCACTTAACAATTTCAACCCAATTGACCCTTTTCCAAACTTTAACATCTATGATATGCTTTTATAAACTTATTTCCTTTAGCCACATGACTTTAAAAGCATATGAAACAAGATGAAGCACAACATCCGAGTAACTTTCTGACTGGTGTCAAGATAGATTGTTTTCAGGCCCATCTCTTTCTCTTCTGTCCTTAATGTAAGCTAGGAATATACTGGATTTGTTTTTTCACAACAGCTCACCAATGATGACTATAACTTGTACTTACACTCACAAATCTATTATTTGACTTTTTAATCTAGTAAATCTAAAAAGAGTCAAACACATTCATATATCTGAACATACTTTTTGGTCGATTATAGCAGCCAATTCTTTTTGTATCATGCTCATTCCTAGCCAGGCATCCTGCATTTTTATTTTTGCTTTTTATCCTTGAGTCTATTAACTTCTGCTTATTTTTTTAAGCCAATGTCGTTCAATCCTTGTAGGAACATTTTTTTCCATGATCAACATAAATCATTAAAGTGTTTCTTCTTTCTTTATTTCTTTCTGAACAAAGCTTCCCCTTACAAGCAATTTATTAGCATGTTATCATTAACTTCGTAAATGACTGATGTGGTTAAAAACTCTGCGCCTGGCTTCAAGGTAATTTCTATATTAATAAACCCAAATCTCAACTCCACTTGAGGGCAGAGATTCCTTTCAAGTCAAATTTATTTTATACATAAGAATCTCATTCTCATCAATTTTGTATTTAGAACATTCTCCTCCAAAAGGAGAAAAAAAACTGAATATCTTAATTTGTGATGTAGCTTCAAGATATTCCGAAGTACTTTGCTAAACAGCTTGTCTATATTTCCTATTTAAATAGAATGTATTTTATAAACAATGCAAAAACATCAGTTTGGTGAACTCAAAACCATCTATCAAACAAATAACTTACCACAATCTAGGGCAAGAGGTCATCTGTCTGCTTGTTTTGTGTTGGGTTGGCATTTATGTGTTCTGACATATGACCAGAACCTAAACTGCTTTTCCCCTTTTTGCTCTATTTTTTATTTAATAATTACATATGAAATAGAAGCTTATTTTCAGAAAGGAAATGGACTCAGCGAAGTCACTTTATATTACAGTGTGGTTCTCCATTTAAAGCTGCACTCCCACCTTTACCTTGTTTGTATTTTCACTTTTCCTTTTCCATTCTCAGTTTCAGTTGTCATGATTTTCTTTTCAAGCCATTGCAGATAGTTCAAGTAGTGTTCATAGTTAAATTCACAGGTGAGTTTTCAAGTTCCATTTACATATCCTCTAACACAATACACCATCACACTTTTCTTGCAAGAAAGCTAAAGTCAACTGCATACCATTTCTCTGCTTTGAAGAGAAGAAATTTTTTACATAATGAAAAAAGAGGTTAATATCCCCTTACCAGCTAAAAGTCCATTGAAAGATATAGTCTCCTGACAAGTGTAAGGCTGGACACAGGTATAACTTGGGGAAAGAGATCATTTGCCAAAAACTGCTTATGAAACAGCAGGGACATTTCTCCATTCAGTGCTTAACCATTTAACAAATGTGTTATGAAATGTCAACTATCTAATTGTTCCAAGGACTTTTCCTAATGTTTTGAAGGATTTTAAAATATTGTCTGTATGTTATTAAGATATAGTTTTATCTTTCTGCTAATTCCTTTACTTTCACAGTCTGAGGCATTCACTAACAATATCCTCAAAGGAGATAATTCAGTCAGTCAAGAGATACTTAGCTGCATTTAGAAAAAGTCACAATGCAAGTGCAACTATATATATTCTTATTATATATAAACTCAGCATTTACCCAGAAGAGACTAGAGAAAATACAACAATTGATTTTATATACACTACTTGATTGACTGGCAGAAGGCAGTCCTCATGTCTACTTCTTCAGAAGAACTGTTAAAGTTTTCATGTATTCTACATACAGTAAAATTAAAACAATATCATATTTGACTGTGCAAAGCATACATTTTAAGACAAAAAATGCACATAATTTTAGAAAAATAAGCAGAAACATCACTTCTTTCTCTGTGTGCCTTTGAAAGAACCTTGAACCAGACCATCTGTACTCCACAATGAAACTCAACAGGCAGCCACTGAGCTTCTTCTCCATAGGTATGAAATGAGAAACACAGAATGTTATTGAACATTTTCTCAGTGGAACAGCACACACATATTTAGTACAAGGGGTTCTGCCACTGAGACACACTGAGGGAATTCAGAGTGTTCAATGACTTCAACTTCCCACCCCATGGCACAGTGTCACTCATGCTGCTGCACTTAGCTCTGCATGTTCCATAAAACAAGAAAAAGCACTTTTAAAAAACCAGCAAAATGATAATGATTGGGGCTGAGTCGCTTCACTCTCAGACATGTGAAAAAACAAACAGAAACTATCACTTTCAGATGCTTGTCTACATACTGTCTGTTCTTTGCTCTGAGTCTCCAAAATTAGAGCAAGAAACACAAAAAAATTATCCAAATAATGTCCATTATAAATATGTTTGCCTTCACATTGTAGTTTTATAGCATTGAATATTTCTGTTGGCAGTTATATTAAACGTTCCCTATATTCCAGGCTACCACTTATTTTATCTGTTTATTTTAGCTAGAGCAAGTTCAGGCCTACAATAGCACACTCAGCATTTTGGCTCTATATCATTTGCAAACAAGATGCAAACCTGGCAGCTTAGGGCTTGACATTTTGCATACATGCAACAGTACCTCCTCTTAGCATCATCATATGTCTGGCATGATCTTATATTTCCACTGGTCTCAGACTGCAAACAACAGGAGGGAAAAACCCAGCAGAAAAGAGGAAGACAATACAAGATGACTTGGAAGTCATTTTGCTCCATCTTCACCATGGGAGTTAATTGTAAAGAAACATTTTTCTAAAGGGTGCCATCAGTAGGTCTACAACTACAGGAACGAATTACATAGTAGAGTATTTTGCAAGCATTACTTAGAAATAACTGTTCAGCATAGCAGCCATAACTACTGGCACATAATTTGATACTTATAAGAATGTATTGCTGCATCTAGGTAACAAATGATTTCAAAAATGTTTCATGTGAAAACCTAGCCATTTCACTACAAAAGAAAACAATTCTAAAAGAAAGTAAAAAATCAAAGTTCATTGTAACCTCAAGTTAAATCAATGTAATTAATGTATCTCTGCCTTGTCTGGTAAAACTCCCTGTTTTCTATGGTTCCTGGAACTTTTGCTCTTATATTTCCATTATTCTTTATTTTACAATGTACATTTATGCTTGTACATAGAATAGCAAAATCCAAAATCACATAATCCATATGATCTCTATAGTCCCTTTTCTAGTACCATTGAATAACTTTCCAAATAGGGAGGCCTTTGTGTGTATGTTTATGTTCATATGGGTGAGAGTCTATACAAAATTCCTATGGCCTAGCTGATTAGAGCATATTGTCTACAGGTTTGGGTAACATAAGATCAAGGTAGCAGATCTGAATGCCTGGTAAGCCACTTAGCTTGAAGCTGTTTCATGACCACATGCTTCAGACTTTAGTCTAGCTCACCATATAACAAATACTAGTTATTGATTATAAAGGACTATGCAAAATAAAGACTTCAGACATATACAGTAGTAGCTCTCGGCAGTCAAAGTAGTGTAGATGCTATCAATAGGCTGGCCATGGCAAAAAATGGCATAAGTAATGCTTACTATAATATCTCATAATATCTGCAATTTTAAATAGTAACCAACCATAAACTACTGAGATGCCCATCACAGGAAGCATTCATTTCTTAGCCAAAATTACTGTTGTTAAGACTATTTTTTCCCCCGGGGTAGTGGGTAAGACTCAGTCACCTCTATGTTGTGTAACACTTAAAGTCTAAGGTTTCACTGATTTCATTTTTTTTTTTTTTTTGAGAAGGAGTCTTGCTCTGTCACCCAGGCTGGAGTGCAGTGGCACAATCTCCGCTCACTGCAAGCTCCGCTTCCCGGGCTCACACCATTCTCCTGCCTCAGCCTCCGGAGTAACTGGGACTACAGGTGCCGCCACCACGCCCGGATAATTTTTTGTATTTTTAGTGGAGACGGAGTTTCACCGTGTTAGCCAGGATGTTCTCGATCTCCTGACCTCGTGATCCACCCGCCTCGGCCTCCCAAAGTGCTGGGCCTTATTTTAACAGACACCAATGTGATCAGAAAAAGTATAACATGTGCTGAAAACTGTTTATTGTGTGGACATTGTGTGGGAACCAATAAAAGACAAAGAGCTATAGAATAAATCATTTTTATTTAATTTTATTTACTTTTAAAGTTAGACTCGTATTCATTCTGGTCTCTCTGAGTTGTTTGCTCCCACCTGTTTGGTCTCACTTTTCTCTCTGTATCTCAGGAGCCAGAACTACAAGCTTCAGAAGTCAGTTCAGATGGTTATCTGCAATTTCTCTTTGTAGTGCTATTCGAGGTCAAATCCATTACAGCATATGTTCAGACTGACTTTGCACACTTAACTCCACTGGGCTTTCAGTGACATACTTGGCGCTTCACCTGAGAACCTGTTATCCATAGATACATGAGATGTTAAAAGTGATACATACAAAAAAAGAAAGAAAGAAAAACTGATTCATGCCTACATAGTACATTTATGGCTGACTAATCTATAGCTCTTAAAATGATCTAATAAACACCATGCCACCTTTTTTAAAGATTAAAATCATTTTGCCACTAAATGGTGCTATTATGTTCCCAAGCCACCTTAGATTCCAGTCAGAGATGCATGAAGTGTTGGCTCCACAGACTTCCCGGGGAGGACAGCAACATAATCTTGTCATTGCGTAATTTGCCACTCACTAAGGAAATGTGTGTCAGGAAACAAAGTGCACCAAACATTGGCAACTGATTCAGAAATAGCAAACACTGAGAAATCTTCTTTTCCCTTAAGGAATACGATAGAGTGAGCTTTGCAACTGTGCCCCTCAGATTTCATCAATGTGGATTCTCTTGGAGGATTTATTGTTCCAAAAATACAACCTAATATGATTTTCTGTACTGATAATTAATTAAAGCAGAGGAGCCTCGGCGATGATAATACACAAATAGATGGAATGTATTTGCCTTTCCTTTAATGTGTCTTTTATTGCTTCTTAGGAAACTCCCCCTCAAAATATTATATAGACAACAAAGGTAAAAATATTTAAATTGTTGCCTTTATTTTATTTTATTTTATTTTTTGAGATGGAGTCTCGCTCTGTCACCCAGGCTGGAGTGTAGTGGCACGATCTTGGCTCACTGTAACTTCTGCCTCCCAGGTTCAAGCAATTCTCCTGCTTCAGCCTCCCAAGTAGCTGGGATTAAAGGTGCGTGCCACCACGCCTAGATAAGTTTTTGTATTTTTAGTAGAGACGGGGTTTCACCATGTTAGCCAGGATGGTCTCAATCTCCTGACCTCGTCATCCAACCACCTCAGCCTCCCAAAGTGCTGGGATTATAGGCATGAGCCACTGCGCCCAGCCAAATTGTTGACATTATAAGGAATAGTAAATGACATTTTGTGCTTTCATTTAAAAAAAAAAAAAAGTTCATCCAAGTTTTTTTATTTAAAAAAAAGTTCACAGTTAAGAAAACAAGGCCGGGCGCGGTGGCTCACGCCTGTAATCCCAGCACTTTGGGAGGCCGAGGCGGGTGGATCATGAGGTCAGGAGATCGAGACCATCCTGGCTAACAAGGTGAAACCCCGTCTCTACTAAAAATACAAAAAATTAGCCGGGCGCGGTGGCGGGCGCCTGTAGTCCCAGCTACTCGGGAGGCTGAGGCAGGAGAATGGCGTGAACCCGGGAAGCGGAGCTTGCAGTGAGCCGAGATTGCGCCACTGCAGTCCGCAGTCCGGCCTGGGCGACAGAGCGAGACTCCGTCTCAAAAAAAAAAAAAAAAAAAAAAAGAAAACAAAGCAGGCCAGGTACGGTGGCTCACGCCTGTATCCCAGCACTTTGAGAGGCTGAGGCAGGAGGACTGCTTGAGCTCAGGAGTTCAAGACCAGCCTGGGAACATGGTGAAACCCTGTCTCTACAAAAACAATACAAAAATTAGCTGTACATGATGGCATGCACCTGTAGTCTCAGCTACTTGGGAAGCTGAGGTGGGAGGATTGCTTGACCCCAGGAG